>NC_000013.11:79936512-80089353 GCF_000001405.40 Homo sapiens | reverse complement strand
TGCTAAGAAAACTGGTAGTCATGAGCAGGAAACTGAAACTGGAACCCCTCCTTACACCTTTTACAAAATTAACACAAGATGCATTAAAGACTCAAATGTAAAGCCCCAAACTATAAAAACCCTACAAGAAAACCTTGGCAATACCATTCAGGACATAGGCACGGGCAAAGATTTTATGATGAAATTGCCAAAAGCAATTGCAACAAAAGCTAAAATTGACAAATGGGATCTAATTAAACTGAAGAGTTTCTGCACAGCAAAAGAAACTATCATCAGAGTAAACAGGCAACCTACAGAATGGGAGAAAATTTTTACAATCTACCTCTTTGGCAAAGGTCTAATATCCAGAATTTACAAGGAACTTAAACAAATTTATAGGAATAAAACAACCCCATCGAAAAGTGGGCAAAGGATATAAGCAGACACTTCTCAAAAGAAGACATTTATGTGGCCAACAAACATATGAAAGAATGCTCAACATTACTGATTGTTAGAGAAATGCAAATCAGATCCCACAGTGAAATACCAGCTCACACTAGTCAGAATGGCGATTATTAAAAAGTCAAGAAACAACAGATACTGGTAAGGCTGTGGAAAAACAGGAACACTTTTACTTTCTTAGTGGGAATGTAAATTAGTGTAATCATTGTGGAAGACAGTGTGGCAATTTCTCAAGGATCTAGAACCAGAAATACCATTTGACCCAGAAATCCCATTACTGGTTACCCAAAGGAATAGAAATCATTCTATTATAAAGATATATGTACACGTATGTTTATTGCAACACTCTTCACAATAGCAAAGACATGGAACCAACCCAAATGCCCATCAATGATAGACTGGATAAAGAATATGTGGTAAAAGGCCGGGTGTGGTGGCTCACGCCTGTAATCCCAGCACTTTGGGAGGCTGAGGTGGGCTGATCACCTGAGGTCAGAAGTTCGAGACCAGCCTGGCCAACATGATGAAACCCCATCTCTACTAAAAATACAAAAATCAGCTGGGCGCAGTGGCAGGTGTCTGTTATCCCAGCTACTCGGGAGGCTGAGGGAAGAGAATCACTTGAACCCGGGAGGCGGAGGTTGCAGTGAGCCGAGATCATGCCATTGCACTCCAGCCTGGAAAACAGGAGTGAAACTCCATCTCAAAAAAAAAAAAAATGTGTTACGTATACACCATGGGATACTGTGCAGCCATAAAAAGGAATGAGATCATGTCCTTTGCAGGAACATGGATGGAACTGGAAGCCATCATCCTCAGCAAACTAGCACAGAAACAGGAAACCAAACACCACATGTTCTCAGTCATAAGTGGGAGGTGAACAATGAGAACACATGGACACAAGAAGGGGAACGACACACACTGGGGCCTGTCGGGGTGGGGATGAGGGGCAGGGGAGCATCAGGACAAATAGCTTATGCATAAGGGGCTTAAAACCTAGGTGACAAGTTGATAGGTCCAACAAACCATCGTGGCACACATATACCTATGTAACAAACCTGCATGTTCTGCACAAGTATCCCAGAACTTAAAGTAAAAACAAACAAACAAAAAACCTATAGAGAAAGTAATATATCACTATAATATTACTATTTTAAAAATCAGTTATAAAATAAGACATCTTTTGAAAGGGTTAATACATTTGATATTTCATTATTGAAGGCTTACTCTACACCCTGGCATTTTCTTGTAGGTGCTGGAAAAGATAGGCTGCAAAAGATAGGCTTGCACCATGAAGCTCTAACTCCATTAGAGAAGACACACATTTAGCCATCACAAGGTGGTATGGACACTTAAAGGTCTCCATTTACTTGATCAAAAAGTCTAGGAGAGGGGTCAGCAAACTAGACTTTCTTTCCATAAAAGGCTGGATAGTAAATATCGTAGGCTTTGGTGCCACATAGACTATGACAACTACTCAACTCTACCTTCATATTTTGAAAGCACTCATAGACAATGTTTAAACAATTGGCATGTTCCAATAAAACTTTATGGACACTGAGCTTTGAATTTCCTATACAGTTTCCCACCGAATAACAATGTTTGGGTCAAGAAGGGACTGTATTATACAACAGCGATCTCATAAGATTATAACGAAGTTCAAAAATTCTTATCACCCAGTGTTTACCATACTTTTAAAATTTATTTTATAGTCTATTCCTTCTACTTATTTTAAAAGTTAACTGTAAACAGTCCCAAGCAGGTCGTTCAGGAGAAGGTATTCCAGAGGAAGGCATAGTTATCATAGGAGATGACAGCTCCATGCGTATTATCGTCTCTGAAGGCCTTTAGTGGAGCAAGATGTAGAAGTGGAAGGCAGTCACAGTGATGATCCTGACCCTGGGCAGGCCTAGGCTAATGTATGTGTTTGTGTCATAGTTTTTAACAAAAGCCTTAAAAAGTTAAAAATAGAAAAACGCTTATAGAAAAGGGATATAAAGAATAAAACTATTCTTGTTCAGCAGTGCAATGTGTTTGCATTTTAAGCTAAGTGTTATTACAAAAGAATCAATAAGTTAAGATTAAAAAGTTTATAAAATAAAATAGTTATAGTAAGCTAAGGTCAATTATTATTGAAGAAAGAAAAATACTTTTGTATAAATTTAGTGTAGTTTCTGTATACAGTGTGTATAAAGTCTATCATAGTGTACAGTAATGTCCTAGGCCTTCACATTCGCTCACCACTCACTGACTCACCCAGAGCACCTTCCAGTTCTGCAAGCTCCATTCCCAGTAAGTGTCCTATATAGGTGTATTATCTTTTACCTTTTATGCTGTATTTTTACTGACCTCTCTTATGTTTAGATACATAAATACTTACTATATTATGGTTGCCTATAGTATTTAGTACAATAACATACTGTACAGGTTTGTAGTCTAGGTGTGTAGGAGGCTGTCCCATCTAAGTTTATGTAAGTACACACCCCAATGTTTGCTCAATGGTGAGATCACCTAATGATGCATTTCTCAGAATATATTCTTATCGTTAAGAGATGCATGACTGTACTTTGCGTATATCATAAAATCTTTTCCTTCTGATTCTTTTCAACCATTTAAAAATGTAAAAATCATGCTTTGCTGATAGTCACAGGGCATTAGAGAAGATCTAAGGAAAGAGCATCTAAACTGAGAGCTGGGGAGAAGTAAAATTAATCAAGGGCAAGTTTGGAGGAGGGGTGAATTAGAGCATACTCCTAGTTGAAGTTCCCTGAGGAGCAATAGAAAAATTTGCACAAAAGGCCAGCTGTGATGGCTCACACCTGTAATCCCAGCACTTTGGGAGGCAGAGGTGGGTGGATAGCTTGAGGTCAGGAGTTTGAGACCAGTGTGGTCAATGTGGCAAAACCCCGTCTCTGAAAATACAAAAATTAGCCAGGCGTGGTGGTACATGCCTGTAATTCCAGTTACTCGGGAGGCTGAAGCAGGAGAATTGCATGAACTTGGGAGGCAGAGGTTGCAGTGAGCTAAGATCATGCCACTGCACTCCAGCCTGAGGGACACAGCAAGACTCCGTATCAAAAAAAAAAAAAAAAAAAAAAGTTCACTCTGTTGAAGCTTTCTACCCTTAATAAAAGCAGTTCAGGATATACATAGCAAGGGGAAACTTTTTTGTAACTTTCAAATCACACAACACATGTGACCACCTAAGTTGACTACCAGGAAGACTGGACTGACTATATACGCTGAGTGTAATTTTCATTGTATTGCATTTGCCTGAAGGCCTGTGAAAGCCACAAATGATTACCTTATTTTCTTGCTACTTTGGCAAAGCAGATATATTAGTGCAGAAAATATGAGATCACAAGTGTGTGTTCATTTAACAATGCTTTGGCAATATAAGTTCCAGTTGTCCTTTAGCTCCATTGGTACAATTTTTTGTAACATTGGACAAGTCACTTTCCTTCCTTTACGTCTCCATTGGTACCCGCTAAGTAAAACCAATATCTACCATCAAGTCCACCATAGTTATCCTAAAGCACACAAAATATTCTGCCATGCATATCAAAAGAAAATCCTCAATTTTAGAGACACTAGATAAGTATGTATCTAAGAGTAAACATTCATATTGTACAAAGAATAAATTAATTCAAATTCTGATTTTAAAAAAATTCCTGGAGGATGGCTTGAGGCCAGGAGTTTGAGACCAGCATTGGCATCATGGTAAGACTCCCATCTCTACAAAAAAAAAAAAAAAAAAATTAGCCAGGCATGAGGGCATGTGCCTGTAGTCCTAGCTACACAGGAGGTTGAGGAAGGAGGATCACTTGATCCCAGGGGTATAAAGCTATAAGCTATCATCGAGCCACTGAATTCTAGCCTGGGCAACAGAGTGAGATCCTGTCTCTAAAAAATTAAATTAAATTAAAAAATTAAAAGTTACTGAGTGTGGTGTTGTATATTTGAAAATACGATATGGTTTTCACTATTTGGCTGCTCTCAAAACACGTGCATTTGGAAGCCATGGTTTTTTCAGTTTCTTTTTAAACTGATGTGGAAAATAAAGTAGATTAATAACATTCAATTTTAATCAATATCAAATTTGTTCCATGTGCTAAAATGCAAGATAATCTAGCAAAAAATAGTGAGCATGTATTTGGTGCTGGGTTCAATACTTGAGTGGAGATAAGGCAAAAAGATTTTCCTGCTAATCAAGCCAGCACTGTGTGCTTGCAATATTAATTTAACATAACCACAGTAACTAAAGTGTTAAGTGCTATCAAGGGTTTGAATCCACAAAGGTTAGTAAATAAATAAATAAAGCAGCCCTTCTGCTCATTAGGAAGCCATCCAAAGCCCGGAAGAGAGAATCAAGTTCCTAATTTATGAGTCAGCCACTTAAAAAAAAAAAAAAAAAAAAAAAAAAAAAAGAGTCAAAGCTAACACACTCATTCCAACAGCTTTTCCCATGCTGGTCTTTCTGGAAAGATAAATTCCTGCAGGATTATTTTTTGGAATTACTACCAGTAAGTTCTATTATACTGTCAGACCTAGAAAAAATTATTTCACTAGGACTTCAAACATGAGATTGAATAAATGATTATGGCAAATTGTTGTTCCTAATTAATTAAAATGATTTATATGGCATGCTGTGTAACTGAAGAATGCAAAAAGTGAAAAAAAAGAATGTCTTTGTAGTAAAGTAGATTTGTGTAAGTGGAATAAAAGCATAAGAATAAGCTTCCATGAGCGAGTTCTACAACTGAGTCATCTATTTAGCCTTCATTTTTGGCAGCATCATTGACCAGTGAGCAGGGATTTACCAGAAAATTGTTGACCACAATAATCAAATTTTGCAACAAAAATTCACAGATTGGACGTCATGCCGTTGACTATATAAGACAAGTTAGAAGACACAATCTATTTTGCTTTTGATTCTCAAAAGCAACAGTTTGTTTTATGCTTTTAAAATTCCCCATTAAAATAACTTCTGATTCTATTCTCATTGTCTCTTTTGCTCCTGGTTCCCTTCCTTCACCTCCCCTCCTGCTCCCTCCAATTCTGACCCACTGTGGTCTCCTGGCATTGTTCTGACATTTGCCTGGCAGAACATAAAACAACAAATATGTTCAATTTGAGTGGTTTCCTGCAATGTTATTCTATCAAACTGGCAATTTCCGAAAGGATTTAGAAAGGAGCATACAATTCCTCAGACACCGGGAGGTCTGACAGTGACTGCCAAAACAGTCCATGCTTTTAGCGGGCCGTAATATCTGAGCACACAAAAACATCCCTTTTTCTCAGGTTTATTTTTTATGCTTAATACCGAACAGACTTCAGAGACTTTCTAAGTGGCCAGAGAGTACTATATTTAGCACCTTAAAACTCAAAGGAGTTTAGAATATTTTGATATGCATGGTGCATGGAGATCCAATTTATTCTACAGCAGTCACCTATGGTAATGAAATGTTAATCAAGATATTTAAATTACAGCTAATGGAATGATGGCATCGTATAAGGACCAGATGTAAAATTCATTACCATAGGCTCTGTTTATTCCCTGTATAGTCATTTCCTGCTCCCCTCACCCAACATTTGACATTTCCAAGATGGTGGCAGCTTTGGAAATTTTATGATTTGATTGTGGTTTGGCTTGAGTTCAAATTATAGGGTCTGAATTTGATCAAATTAGACAACTAATGCCTCAGGCAGGAACAGTGCATGCCAATGTCAATGGTGTTAAGATGTACTATAGCATTAACTTGAGACAGAATACTGCAAACCCTTATGGTTCATAATACTTCATGTCCACAAACTATCCTTAAAACTATAATAGATGGATGTGGCCTGTGATGTATTATTATTATTTCAGCTCTTGGAGGGCTGAAATCTTTTGATCCAGAAACATGGACTTCTTGTGAGTCAATTCATTTGTGTTCACCAATGTGTACAGCAACCACATCCTTAACCCTCCCTCCTCTGCAAAAGCAGCATTGTTGAGGAGTCATGGTGGCATGCTTGTGTGACTTGTCTCATACTCTACTGCAGTTATTGTATTCATTCTTCCATTTCATGTCAAATTCTGGCACTGTGTTAAAAGACATTCCAGTGTAGTTTTTGCTTTAAAACAAGAGAAATGAGTTTATAGATTCCTGCTCAGAAGATATTTGAATAAACAAATCCTTACATTTTTATCTTTGATGAAAACTCATCTTGTTTTATTTCCCTTATGCAGGCTGTCTCATATCCTAAAATTCAGCAAGCACAAGGGACACAGTCTTTGGGCTTCATGCAGTGTGACAACATGGCCTTTTGGCAAAACATCCTAGCACCAGGCAGTGTCCTAAATAATGCCTTGTAAGTAGTTGTAAGCCCTTAGCTCTGGAAGGGCTTCCATAACTGTGTCCTCTCTCAAACTTCTGAGGTCCTGGGAGCTAGTAGAGTAAGGAAAGATGTTTAGTTTCCCTGCCTGACAGCACCCACCTCCAACCTTCCTCTCCTGCATGACTCCAAATTTCATCACTTCTCAGGTCTAAGAGGAAGGCTCTGAACAAAGCATGATGGTGTGGGAAAAAGTCACAGACTAGGACTCAGTTACCTGGTGTTTGCTTGGCAACTAACTGCATGCCCTTGAGCAAGTGATTCCACCTCCCAAGTCTTCAATTTATTCAAGTAATCAAGTAAGAGGTTACAGTCCATGATTTAATAACAGAAACAGTGACTGAATTCTTACACCTAAAACTGAAAAAATATTGAGTTAATAGCAATTAATATTGTTGAAATAGAGTAGATGTCAATTCCTCCTATATAAATAATGCCCTGCTTGCCTTTATGATACTTTTGTAGCAATTACTTTACTGTATGCATGTTAATCAAAAGATCACACTGGGCGTTTGGGACTTCACCTCTGGCTTTGGTATGAACCAGGTCTTAAATAACCGTGTGACCTCAATAGCTCACTTATTTTTCTTACCTGAAAAACAAAGAAAAGAGATCGATTTCATGGTCGCCAAAATCTCTTTGTCTGTTATCCCATAAATGATGCCTATGCTCAGCCTGGTGCCTTTGGGAAAGTCAATGAAAGCAAACATAAGATGATTAAGAGCTAAACTATGTCTTTAGCATGACACAGGTTTGCCTCAAACCTGGAAACTGGAACTCTTAGAATTAATAGCAGGAAAACAAGTTATTGTATAATTGATTTTTCCTTAAAGTATGCATTTTCATTTATCAATTACCACGTAAGAGGTCATCTCAACATTAGAGGACTTTAGTTCATAAGCATATAGCTGTTAACTTCTTGGTATATTCCAAAGTCTCTGGTCTTTTAAGTAAATCTGCTGACTTTAGTATCTAACTACCTAGTTTCCCTAGATACTATCTGATCTGTCTTGATTACTGTCAGAACCTCCGTTATAATTAGGGTTATTCCCTAGTTGAAGAGGAAAGATAAAATTATAAAACTCTTTTGCTAAAACACACCATTTCATTTGGCATATTCTGTGCTTTTCCTAATCCACCCCCAACCCCACATATTTAAAAATGAGAAGTGAGGTAAAGGATGGTTTTTTCTCAGTCCAATGGAGAGAGCTGACAAGCCAGACTAATAGCTAGTCGTAGGAGATCAGATAACATTGTCCTAAAAGGAAATGGAGGCTGGGGGTCTGCAGTTTTATTAGATCTCCAGACTGTGTGATATCCCAATTATAATATCCTTGGCTCATTTTATGCATCTTAAACTCATCCCAAAAACAATATTGAAATTATCTTTCTATCTTTTCATATGTTTAATTTTCAGAGACTTTGAGTTTGATTTTTGTAAAAAAAGATTTTATTTTTCATAAGAAATATAAGAAATATCATATACATGAAGCCTGGAGTATAAAATGATCTAGATTTCTAAATAAACTTATTTCAGTCTACAGCCATACCACCCTGAATGCGCTCAATCTCGTCTAAATAAACTCACTTCAGAAAAAATTTAAAATAGCATTTGTAACTAAGAATGTTCAGAGGAAATACTTCTTAAATATTGGAAGTTTTTCATATATATATATATATTTGTGTATGTGTCTTGTTTTCAGAAGAAAAAATGTCTCAATTCTTCTAATGAAGATCTCAAATTAATAAATTTTAGAAATCAGGATTATAATTGTGACTGTCTCACAAAATTACTTTTTTACTTAGGGAAAAATAAATACTTCAAACACTTTTCTATTTAGCAGAGTCTTTTTTAAAAATTGAATGTATGTAGTCCAATGATTAAATTATAGCTTTTTCCATTCATAGTTTGTAATTACTATTAAAAAATGAGTAAATAAAATGAACAATATTTGCTGAATTCTATAAGTTTTCAAATGTCTATGATACATTGGCAAGTGATGTATATTCAGTGATCTTGCCTGTAAAATAGGGGTTTTGTCAGCAATGACCTCAAATAGATGCATAGCTTGAGAGTTGACAGTTCACAGACATCAACTGCGATTAACTTACTGGCGTTAAATAAAAGATCTCTCACTAGGGCTAAAACCATTAATTAGTACGCAAGATGACATTTCTTTCAAACCTTCATTATGATAAGAGCTGTCAGATCCAGAAATGCCATCTGACCTTCTGATTCATGTACAATATTAACGCTTGGGAAATAATCTTTACCAATTAACCTTTGTCTTGGAATCAAATTTAAGTTGTAAGACCATAATAGACTTTACTCTTTGTAGAGAGCAGTAAAATATCAGCACTTATACATACAGGAGAAAGCAGAAATGAGATAAAGATAAAAATTTGTCCCAATGTGATTGAAAATGAAAAGTATGTGTAGACGTCATAATTGTTGGGTAATACCATCCTATTGAAAGACAGGTCAGAAGGCCTTAGAATCATTTATATGTCCTATTGTTAACCCGGTTTAGGCAAACCCGTTTATTTGATACTTTCTATTTGCTAAGTACAAAGCTAGATACTGTGGATGCACTGAAGAATCAGTCAGAATGTATGCCATCAAGGAGCTTGCAGTAATGGTATAATAATGTCGAGGGCTAAAATAGAGTTATGTAGAGGCTAAAATAGAGGCAGCAGCACACAGGGTTTGAAGATATGAAGTCTGGATCCCAGGTGCATGGGTTTGAATCCTAGCTCTGTCACTTATTAGCTGTGTTTCTAATTGCTTTGTGCCTCATGGATAAAACAAAGGATGCTAATAACAGCAATCACCTCCTAGAGTAGTCATGATGAGAAAATGAGTTATTATTCATACAGTACTTAGAAACATGCCTGGCGCATAAGTGGGAAGTATGTGTTTGTTAAATAAAGCCCTGTGGCTTGGGAAAATAATTAGAGAAGAAGAAACTATTTTGAAGTACATGATTAATTTTTCATGGTGAAGAAGGTAACATATTATCCATATCAGGTACTTATTCCATTATTGCTGGAAACCTATATACAAAATAAGAAATCTTAATCCTGGCCATTCAAGGTAGGATTTTGTTGACCAAAGTCAGATTGCTTTAGGTTTTAGAACTATATAAATGTTCTTTTCTTGAGCAACTTTCTAAATTATTGGGCCTTAATTTAAAAAATAGACACTTGGGGGAAGAAAATTTTAATTAATGATTACATAAATGTTTGCAGAAAATGAACTATGTCTACATTGTTCACAGAACTAGCTGCTATGGAACTGCTACAAAATCAGCTTAACTCCTCTAAATTGAGCTGTATAAAAAAGGCAACATCTACCCAGCCAATATTAGTTAATTCTCCCAGCCCAAAATATTCTCTAGTACATCAAAGCAATAAAACTGATGAGAAATTCTGAGTAGTAGGCAGAGAATCATCTCCAAACCCACCTCTTCTCTATAATGCAGCCTGGTCATAATTGCATCTCTCTACCCCTTAGGACCAACTTGTGACCATTAGATAATTTCTCTGCAAGGAAGCAGTACAGAAAGGAAAGCATAACCTTTCAGATTTGAAGGATAATACATGACTCTACTCTCCCTTATGCATGTGTTCACTACATATTTAGAATAAAAGAATCCATTTTATCTTGTCTTCACTTACAGCATCTAGAGATTTGGTATATCCATGGTTAAAATTCAAAATGATTCCAACATTACCTACCAAATAAAGCTCAAATATGACTGAATGTCATATAAGGCCCTCCAGAATACAGACATCCCCCTCGTGCCCTCAGAACCCTGCCTCTCATCATCCCTTGAAACTGATTAAAATTGTCCATGCATTCTTTGACCCTTCTCCAATCCAAAGCTACAGTCTATGTCTCCTCCTCTGACTCGACTGGTTTGTGCTTCCCTCAACCAAGAGAATGTGGTGGGGGCCTCACTGTGCCAGATTCCAAGTCCAGGCCTATGAGACTAGCAGTTTCTGCTCCCTGTCTCTTGGAACTTTTGCTCTAGGAGAAATTGCCAGGTAATAAGTATGACTACCCTGAGACCACCATTTGTGAGAGACTCCAAGCAGGCCACATGGAGAGGCCTGGCAGAGAGAGGTGCCTACCTATCCTCTGACTGCTCCAGCCATTCCATCCTGGCAGTCAGGCTGTGAGGTGAGAAGTCTTCAGAGGAATCCAGCCCCCCACTGCCATCTTACCACAATCACATGAGAGTCATTAGCTGAGCCCATCACCTCCTAGAATTGTGAGATATAATAATGAATTGTTATTTAAAGCAGTGAGTTTTGGGCTAGTTTGTCATATAGCCATAGAAAACCAGAATATCCCCGTGCACACTTCTGTGCTCCCATCCCTTCCAGATTACTTGAAGTTACCCAAGGAGCCTGAGCTGTTTCTAAGCAGCTTTTCCATCTACTCGTTGCTCCACATAGAGTTCCAGCTCCAAACCTTGAAATTCAGTGCAATTATTACACACCTCAAACTTTCCTTTACCAATTGCTTCCAAGTGCAAATATTTATTTATCAAACACAAAAAGCACTTTATTCTAAGTATTCTATGCATTCAGTCCTCCTATTGGTCCCATTTCACAGATGAGAAAACTGAGAGACAAAAAGATTAAGGAACTTAGATCAAACAACTAACAACTCGAAGAACCATGACTCAAACCCAGAGTCTAACTCCAGATTTTGTTTCATGACCTCTCCAGTTTGCCCCTCTCTGGAGCATTCCTCCCCACTCTTTCTGGAACTGTGCATGGACACCATTTATTCTCTGTCAGGTCACAGCTCAAAGGACAGTTCCTCAGACAACTAGTCACTGATCATCTGAGTCAAGTAGCATTCCTCACTCCACCCCATCTTCCCGGCAGGTCACGTTCTACTACTCTGTTTTATTTTTGACACAATATTTATAGTTGCACAAACAATTTTTTGGCAATGATTCTGTCTTATTCCACATGATATCCCCATAATCTAGAGTATTGCCTGATGGATAGTAGGGCTTAATAAACATTTCCTGAACGAATAACGAATAATGAATGAATGAATGAATGAATGAATGCACGTTCTTCATCTTTACTGTGGACACAGATGGAATCCACCTAGACTGATCTTTATCAATAATATGCTTCATGGCCACTCGCTAATGTTGCAGCAAAAATGTAACATGAGTTCAACGTGTATCAGTATAACTTAGCCTCTTTCGTTTTGTTTTTGGGTTTATGACTGCATGAGTATATCTGAGTTCGTATAAACATCCTGTAAATAAAGAAGGGAACTGTTCCCTGATAACTTTCTCAAAAAAAAAAAAAAAGGTGCTAGAGATCTTGTAGGGTCTAAGTTATATTCAAACTGAAGTTAATGCCTGGGGCCAATATTTACCAGAATTATGATGGTGGCTTTCTGGGTATGCAGTGGTCTTTCACAGGTGGCCAAGATAAGCGTTGTGAAAAAGTGTAAGAAAAATGAGGGTTCCTGGTCTTTTTTTTCTTTTGCCTAAAATATTACCTTTTTTCTCTCTCACGGTATAATTTCTCATAGTGTAATTGTCCAGAAGAGGATATTAACTTTACTACATTATTATCAACTAAACTACAGATCTTATTTGAACTTCACCAATTTTTATTGATGTCCTTTTTTTTCTATTCTATGATCAATCCAGAATCTTCCATTGCAGGTAGTTGCTGTTTCTCTTAGTCTCCTGTCTGTAATAGTTCCTTAGTCTTTCATTGACTTTCATGATAGTCTTCCACACTTTGGAAGAAGAGTGGTCATTCATTTTGCAGAATGTCCCTTAATTTGGGTTTTTCTGATATGTACTTGTGTTTGAACACAGGTTATACATTTTTGTTAAGAGCATAAAAGTAAATTATGTTTTGTCTTTCTTAGTGCATCGTGTCAAGGGGTTCATGATGTTGCTGTGTCATAGTGTTTCTTTAATCATTTGGTAGAGCTGGTGTCTGCTAGGTTTCTCCACTAGACATTATCTTCCCCAGTTTTTGATCAAACCGAAAGTCAGAGAGTTTTGGTTAAAAAGACACAAATTTGAGGTTAAGCAGGTTTGGATGCAATGCTCAGCTCTGTTGCCTTCTGTCTGTGAGAAATTAGAACACAGATAAGTGAATGTCCCTCTGGGTCTCAACTTCTTCAACTGTGAAATGGGGATTCTGCAAGTACCCTTCTCATAAGGGAAATATGAATCTTAGTTCACATTCTCACATGTAGAAATCCCTTTAAATCTTCATAAATCTGTAAAGGTCTCAGAGTGCCACATCCCAGGCAAGGGCACCGCCACATCTATCACTGGTCCACATTTGTTACCTTGGAGTTCCATACTCTCCCAGCGCAAGGGTTCCCATCAGGTTTGGTGGCCTGGCTGCACTGGACTTTACTCAATCTTGGGCATCTCTGGTGAGGCAGGGAGCTTCTACAATTGGCAGAAGTTATCTACTCTACGGTTTTCATTTCTCTGAGGCCTTGTGTGGAAGTGGTGTGAAGATTCCCACTGCATTAGGGATCCACCAGTATTTTTTTTTTTTTGAGACGGAGTCTCGCTCTGTCGCCCAGGCTGGAGTGCAGTGGCGCAATCTCAGCTCACTGCAAGCTCCGCCTCCCGGGTTCACGCCATTCTCCTGCCTCAGCCTCCCGAGTAGCTGGGACTACAGGCGCCCGCCACCACGCCCAGCTAATTTTTTGTATTTTTAGTAGAGACAGGGTTTCACCGTTTTAGCCAGGATGGTCTCGATCTCCTGACCTCGTGATCCGCCCGCCTCGGCCTCCCAAAGTGCTGGGATTACAGGCGTGAGCCACCGCGCCCGGCCCCACCAGTATTTTTAGAGAAAAATCTATCTCTTTCCTATTTTTCCCCATCAAAAGTATGCACCTGGGCAGGGTGCGGTGGCTCAGGACTGTAATCCCAGCACTTTAAAAGGCCAAGGTGGGTGGATCAGTTGAGGTCAGGAGTTCAAGACCAGCCTAGCCAACATAGAGAAATCCCGTCTTTACTAAAAATACAAAAATGAGCCAGGCGTGGTGGCACATGCCTGTAGTCCCAGCTACTTGGGGGGCTGAGGCATGAGAATCACTGTAACCAAAGAGGCGGAGATTGCAATGAGCTGAAATCGCACCACTGTACTCCAGCCTGGGTGACAGAGAAAGATTCTGTCTCAAAGAAAAAAAACAAAAAACAATTCACCGAAAACCAACCAAACAAACAAAACACAAAAAATATTTATCTGTCTCTCTTCTCACATGCCCAGAATCCTTAAATAGTCAATGAGTTTAGATTTTTACCAAAGTCTCTGACTTCCACATTGTAGGTATCCAGAGGTAAAGAATGCAAAGGGCCTTGCTACCTTGGGGAATACAGAGAACAAAAAATACCAATTCAGAGATCAAAAATTGATTTTAACACGATATCCTGTTGTGTGGTTATGAAACAGGAAAGGTTCCCTTGTCCTCCTCACAGTGTGTGAGATAGGGGTGTGGCTCCGATTGTTCAGTGCCCTGCTGCTCAAACCTCTATGGGAGCATACAGACGGGCCAGTTGTGGGGCTCTGACCCCCTGGCATTGTCTAGGGGTGAATGTTTACAGCTCCTGAAGCCCCACTGGGAGTGTGCTACAGGGTGCTCTGTTAGTTTGCTGTCTATAGGCAGCTTGTGTTAACCAGCTCAATTAGACCCTCTACCTGGTCGCAAAGACAGATGGCTTTCTGTATCCTGGGTTCTTGCCTTGGTGTACCGGAAGAATCAGATCACACATGGGAGAATGAGTGCGAAGTTTTATCCAGTGGAAGCAGCTCTCCGCCAATGGAGGAGCCAGAAGGGAGATGGTTTTCCCCTGGCCTTGCGGTGCTCAGAAG
Source organism: Homo sapiens (assembly GCF_000001405.40). NCBI lineage: Eukaryota > Metazoa > Chordata > Mammalia > Primates > Hominidae > Homo > Homo sapiens. Next base: position 80,074,644 of record NC_000013.11, on the reverse strand, counting down.
CCCTGGCTCTTCTCCAACTGCCCCGGCCAAACTCTGCTTCATCCTGCTGGTCGATGGCCTGCTGGGTCAATGGCCTGCTGGCCTGCCAGTGCCTGTCGGTGTGCTTTCCTGCCAGTGTGCTCCTCTGGAAGCCCTCTGACTACCAGCCGCTTGTCTCTTCTTCCGCGTAAGTGCTTCTCTCACTTTGGCCCATTAAGGTCTCCCGTTTTTATAGGCCCAGGATGGGGGCATGGCGGGCCAGGGTTGTCTTGAAAAATGCAGCATTTGGGCTAGAAGGCAGGAGTGCCTGTCCTCACCCAGGTCCGTGGGGGTGGAGCCCTAGCCAGGGACCACGCCCTCCTCTGCCCAGAACTTTCCTTCCCCTTTCCCTATCATTTAAAGGGACCACACTCTTCCCTTCCCAGCACTCCCATATCAGTTGTGCAAATATTTTAGCTGAGATTAAACCCCCAAAATGTTGAAAATGTGCACATGACTAGAAATGGGAAAAGCTTCTTAGAGGTGGATGCTTTTTTTTTTTACTTTGGAGAGCAAACGACTCCTTTATTTTAAGAAAAATAACATTTGCCTTGGCCCTTTGGTTATGCAAATGTAACATGCAACTTTCTTCTGGAATGGATAGATCAATGACAATGTGGCTCCAAAAGTTAAATAGCTTTACCTCATATGGAAAGTTGTCTTCCAGGTAGACAAAGCTGAATCTGAATTTTTTACTTTAGGAAATTAACTTTAGAAAATCCCTTTCTAAATATGGATTTACAATGCACTGGCTCCGAAATGCATTGCTTATTCATCAAAGTTTTGCACTTCTGTTCTTGTCTATGTCCTGGTATGGAATAGAGTATCAGATGGCTGAGGAGACACAGAGACATGATCTCCCCACGCTGGGTCGAACTATTGAAGCTGAACACACGTTATGCACAAAATATACACATGACCGACCATTGCGTACTAATGGGGCATAAAGGCAAGATAATGTCCCTAAGGATGGCTTTCCCTGGAAAGAAATGGCGAGTTTCAGTGTAGAACATTTCAGAAGATATTTTTCCTGAGAGAAAATAATGACTTGGGAGTCAGGCTCTGGACTGATATGAAGTCAGAAATGCCCCTTCCTTTTCTAGAGTTGAGAAATAGACGGTCCACAGCGGACAACTTAGAATGGAATAAGGGAGATGTGTTTGAGGCACTACCATTGGAAGATGTGCTGGGGAGAAGCCCAGCCCAGCAACATGCGGCAGGACCACATCTCGGCAGAGGTAAGTGTCGAACGGTGGGTTCCTATGGAGAGATGTGGCCTTTGGATTCTTAGAAAAGCCATATCTGATGACCGGTGTAAAGATCCTTTTGTTATTCTCAAGACTTTAAATAAGTTCATGGTCAAGTCTTAGCTACTACTCTGGGGGTCTGAGCAGAGGGTCTCTGCACCAAGTTGAGATGAACTGGTAGAGGGGAAGGCAGGGAAGCTGGGCTCCAGACGGCAGGAGGACCCCGAACCAAGAGTGGAAAGGACAGCTGACCAAAGGGCAGGCAACAATCAGAGTGGATTTGGGGAATATGCAGGTCTTCACAGGCCAGAAACGTTTGGGAATTAGCAAATAAGAAACCGGACAAAATGATTGAAGTTCCAAAACTCATCTGTGATCAGGGCCAAACATTGTAATATAAATATTATAGCGTGACCTCATAAACTAAAGAAATGGGGCATATTTAGGTCTCATTTATAAGCATCCCATTAAAAGTTACATAAGAACACACAATATTTTTAGGACAAAATATTGGTTTTCCTTTCCAGACTTCCTGATAAGCAAGAGTCTTGGGGAAATAGGGGAAAGGATTGAAATATCCACAAAAGAATGTCTCATTTATGAGCTGATGTTAAATTTGCATCTCACAGATTAGGTGCAAGTTGGACATGGCCATGGAATGTGGAGAGATATGATCGTTTTAGGCTACTGCAAATTGGATGATTATAGTCAAGTTCAAGGATGGTGCTTAAAATGACCTCAGGTACTCTCATGTTGAAGTTTAAAATAGTAAAATAAAAAATGCAGGGTATAGTCTTAATATGAGAAAAGACATCTAAAAGGCTACCATTGTAATTCTGCCTTCTTATCAAAAATCAGTCAACCCTTGGCACATCTGCAATGTGAGAGAGAGGTTTGTAGGTGTTCCTAAAGCAAAAAATAGTGTAGAGAGCAGGCCTTGCCTGGTGGTTTCTGGATGAATAGAAAGAGCAGATGACTTAAGGCATGACTTCTAATTTAAGGCTTCCTAATTGTGCCTCTGACTTTCTGAAACTTTTGTTCAAGTTATGATCTGAAGATAATATCTCAATAAACTTAAGTCAATGTTTCTTCTCACCTTCATAGCCCTAACTGCTAATTTTTATTGACTTCTTCCTCTGGAGCAAGCACTGGAAAGCATTTTACATTTATTTTCTCATTTCATCTGCTACATTCGATTACTATCTCCATTTTACTGTAAAGAGCATGATAGGTGTTAAATAAGTTGTGAAAGTCACCCAACATGTAGGTGTTAACAGCCACATTTGGAACCATGTATTCTGACTAGAAGATAAAGCACTGCATCTTTCTCTGCTCGCTACCTTTTCTCTTCTTTCTTCTCCTCTTTCCTTATTCAAGATAAATTTCTGAGTTCTAAGTCAAAGCCAAAGTGACATCATTTTGGCAAGAAGTGTTATTGTACCCCCAGTTTACCTTAGGAGGTGACTAATGAAATTGACAACCCACCAGTGCATTAAAAAAAAAAAAAAATTAAGGCCGGGTGCGGTGGCTCACACCTGTAATCCCAGCACTTTGGTAGGCTGAGGCAGGCAGATCACGAGGTCAGGAGCTCGAGATCATCCTGGCCAACATGGTGAAACCCTGTCTCTACTAAAAATACAAAAATTAGCAGGGCGTGGTGGCGGACGCCTGTAGTCCCAGCTACTTGGGAGGCTGAGGCAAGAGAATCACTTGAACCTGGGAGACAGAGGTTGCAATGAGCCCAGAGCGCATCACTGCACTCCAGCCTGGTGACTGAGCGAGACTCCGTCTCAAAAAAAAAAAAAAAAAAAAAAAAAAAATTAAGCCAGACGCTGTGGCTCATGCCTGTAATCCCAGCACTTTCAGAGGTTGAGACAGGAGGATGGCTTGAGCCCAGGAGTTCAAGATGAGTCTGATCAAGGTGGCATGACCCATCTCTACAAATAAAAAATAAAAAGTAAATAAAAAATTAGCCAGGTGTGGTAGTGCATACCTGTAGTCCCAGCTACTGGAGAGGGTGGGGCAGGAGAACTGCTTGAACCCAGGAATTCAAGATGGTAGTGAGCTATGATCATGCCACTGCACTCCAGCTTGGGTGACAAAGTGAGATCCTATCTCAAAAAAATAAAATAAAATAAAATAAAAACCAAAATGCGCACGTATGTGCGCGCGCGCGCACACACACACACACACACACACACACAGAAACAAACATATAGTAGGGATTTGCAGAGATGGAGATGCAGGATAGGGAATACAGCCCAACTCTGTCCAAGGGGACTCATGATGTAGGAGACGAGGTGATAGCTCAATAAATAAGTAACTGCCAGGCTGAATTACAGGTGCAATTATACAGGTGAACACACTATACAAAGATGAGATAGAGTCTGCCTTTATAATGACTCTGAAAAAGTTTCAAGGGCCTAAACATGAGTATCAAAGCTGAACGAATCTGTAAAATAGAAAACTTTCATAGGTAAAATAACTTCTGAACAAAATTCATAATATGTGCTGTCCGTTACACTCACAGTCTCTCCTTTGGCAACAATGTGGAATTTTTAGAAAACATGTAAAATGTCAGTCAACTCATTATATTGACACTGAGATTATGAATACCTCTTCCCCCTGTCCCCCCAAAAAAGAAATTCTCACAACCACTGTGCCTATGGCCATGGTTCCTTCTTTTATGATATTACAGCTCTGCTAATGGTTCTGTGACTGTATTTGCATTGCTCTTAGCGGTTAGGATTATTTGAAAGAGACCTTCCTTGTCAGAACAGGGCCTAGACTCAGAGGCCCAGATCGGCAGGAAATTGATCTCTGGCGTCTGTCACAGAAGTATGAAGCTCTGCAAGGTAGAGTGTAGTATTACGGTGCAGGTGCATTGCGGAGATGACGGGCTGATGGCAAGCAAGGTGAGGAAGCCCTGTTCTCTTTCACAGCTGAAGACAGAGACATTGCAGCGACAAGGACAACTGGCATGCCTCACATTCCTCAGTGTTGAAAACAATAAAAGGAGGGGGAATGAGAGAAAAATCAAATTTCTACGAAGAGATGTCAGCAGTAAATTTAATGCAGGTGCAATATTCTCCAAACAAAGGACGTTTTGTTTCTACCGTCTGGGCTCTGTGAAAACCTGCTCCACCTCCTCCTTGCTATGTGTTTTCCTTTTTATCTGTGTAAGGTAGATTAAAATGTTGATACCCTTCCCTGGCAAAAGTATTTTTAATGTTCTTAGTACAGCTGTTGAAGAAGTATTAACTTCCCCCAAAGCTTAGCTTCATTGGGTGTAACAAAGCTTTCTCCCCCTTAAGGTTCAATTCGTTTGTTGAGCTTTGTCTCTTCCTGATTGCTTCTGTGAATTAATGCAACACTGTTTTTACCACTTGTTCTCTGTTTCTATGATATAATAAAGGAAATTAAAAATGAAAAAATAAACACTGATTTTAGCTGAAGTAACAAATTTAGAAAATAAAAAATAAAATTCCCACCATGAATTAAGTTAAAGAACATTTTATAAGAGAAATACATAAAAATGTACATTGTTTGTCTTCCTTTATTTCAGCTGCCACAAACAGAGTGAATGCAGAGCCATCAAGAGGTATGACTTTCTGAATGGTTTGACTGAGTGATTTATAGATTCTACTCTTATAGTAAGATCCAGAGAATGATTTATTTTAAATGCCACTAATGGATCTTAAGTTCCGGCCTTACCCAACTTTGTGAGACGCCTTAGCAAGCCATTAGAGGGCATTTGAACTTTTCTTTGGTAATGATTCATTTAATTGGGGACACATAAATGATAGCCATATATGTCATGATGTCATTACTCTAGGTGAACTAGCACATTGGAAGAAGGGGTGTTCCTAAACCATGACCACTAGCAATAACTTAACTGCACATTGAAATAACTGCAAGCCATAACACCATACTTCTAAGGCTTGTGAAATTTGCAAAAGTATATTTCAATCCCGACTGGCTGTCCTTTTCCACCCATCATCCCCTGTCAAGTATGTAACACTGATGGCAGTGGCATTTTGGGGGCCAGACTAAGGGGAAGTCAAATTGGGGATATGATGTTATGGTTTGTGGTTACTTCCATAGTAGTTGAGTTACTGCTAGCTGTGCTAGTGTAGGAACACCGCTACTGCCTACTGTGCTAGTTAGAATAACACGAAGTCCATAGCTTATCACTAAACATGTCCCCAGTTAAGCCACTACTCAAGAAAACTTGAAATGCCTCTAATCCTACAGTTCATATAAGACAGAAATTTGAAATTTTCCAAAATTGACACAAACCTAAATATTAAATAATATTAATATGAGGTTATGAAACTAAAATCTTTCCAAAAATATCAATAATAATTTTTTTTCTAAGTCAACCTTATAGAAGGATTGGTTGAATTATCTTCCTGATGTTGCTACAGAAAATATTACAAAATTATTGTCATATGAAAAGGCCATCAAAGAGCATGTAGCCCAAAAGTATAGGAAAAATGTGTGGCAGAAGTGGGTCAGCTAGATGATTAATAAAGATCATATGTTGCTTTTCTGGATTTTGTGACATTTGAGGTATTTGTGATCTTAAAAAAATTTGTAATTGGTATTTTTTAAAATTCTAAATAATAAATATTCTAAATAAATATTTAGAATTTTTAAAAATTCTAAATATCTACTTTCATAATTGATTTTTATTTTATAATTTTATATTCATCTTCTTAAAAAGGGGCCCATAAATTATATTATATAGCTTCAGGCCCCATAAAATCTGGATCTGCCCATGAAACCTGGATCAGCCCAGAGATTATGGAGAGATAGATATTTGGAAGATAATTTTTTATGACTCAAAGGTTATAACATGGGAAATAAGTATTTAATAATAAGTACCTATCCAGTGCAGCTTCCTTAAAGGAGGCATATCAAGAGTACAAAAGCCCAGCACAATGGCATGCACCTGTAGTCCTAGCTACTCTTGAGTAAGGAGGATTGCTTGAGGCCAGGAAGTTGAGGCTGCAGTGCAACACAATTGCACCTCTGAATAGCCACTGCACTCCAGCCTGGGCAACACAGCAAGACCGTTGTCTCAAAAAATTAAAAAAGAGTGCCAAGACTGTAGAATTTGGAGCATGAACTTGACACTTAGTATCTGTTCAGTTTTCAAGACCCTCCATGGCCAGGCCTCATCCAGTCCTATTTCTCAACACTTGCTAGCGTATGTACACTCAATCTGGTTAAACCAGTCTATTCCCACTCTTCTGCTGGTACATCTTTATTAGGCCCACTTTAGATGGTTTCCCACCCTTGAAGGTTACGCTTTTCTTACTATTATTCTCCATTTCTCTCAATCCTATTCATCTTCAAGGCCCATCTTCAGTAAATTGGCCATAACATATCTAGTCCACAGGGCTACCTGCCTTCTTAACCCTGGTAGAGATGCTATTTAACAAAAGACTACATATATTTTGCTGTTGTATGTTCTGGATCAATTTTTATAATTATGCAATACACTCCTAAGGACAGAAAATATATCTTATATTTTTGCTGGTTGTTTTCAGTGCCTAGCTACTAGAATCTAGCATAATGCTGGCCATATCTTATTTGAGTATCCCAAAACCTTACCGATTATTTGATAATTAGAAAAGTTCTTATTTTTCAAATGTAACGATGAATTAATTTCTTTAAAATATTAGATATCTCCCTTACAATGTTAAGGATAAGTTAGCACCTACAGTAAAATATTGAGGATAAGGGAAGTTGATCTATAGCAGGAGTTCAAAACTTGGTTCCAAATCTTAACTCCAACTCTAAGCTGTGCGAACTTAGAAAATTTTAGTATCTTCTTTGAATCCCAGTTCTACATTGATAATGCAGAAATATATTAATACTGTTTTGAAAATTGAATGAAGTTATGTGTGAAAAGCATATGATATTTGATATGGTTTGGCTCTGTGTTCCCACCCAAATCTCATATCGAATTGTAATTTCCAATGTTGTTGGCCGACTTCCCCTTTGCTGATCTCGTGATAGTGAGTTCTCACAAGATCTGATTGTTTAAAAGTGTGTAGCACTTCCCTCTTCATGCTCTCTCTTTTGCTCTGTCATGGTAAGATGTGCTTGCTTCCCCTTTGCCTTCCACCATATTGTAAGTTTCCTGGGGGCCTCCCAGCCATGCTTCCAGTATAGCCTGCAGAACTGTGAATCAATGAAACTCTTTTCTTCATAAATTACCCAGTCTCAGGTAGTTTTTTATAGTAGTGTGAGAATGGACTAAAACACCAGGCACGGTGGCTCACACCTGTAATCCCAGCACTTTGGGAGGCTGAGGCGGGCGGATGACAAGGTCAGCAGATCGAGACTATCCTGGCTAACATGGTGAAACCCTGTCTCTACTTAAAAAAAAATACAGAACATTAGCCAGGCGTGGTGGCAGGCACCTGTAGTCCCAACTACTCGGGAGGCTGAGGCAGGAGAATGGAGTGAACCCAGGAGGCGGAGGTTGCAGTGAACTGAGATTGTGCCATTGCACTCCAGCCTGGGTGAGAGAGCGAGACTCTCTCTCAAAAAAAAAAGAGAATGGACTAATACAATATTCATCTATTCTTCATTAATTTATCCAACATGTCAGGAGGTCATGAGAGAACTGGATAAGAAGAAATTGAAATTTAATGCAAGTTAAAGGATTTCTCTTTCTTTCTTTCTTTCTTTTTCTTTCTTTCTTCTTTCTTCTCTCTCCCTCCCCTCCCCTCCCCTCCCCTCCCTCCCTCCATCCCTCCCTCCCTCCCTCCCTCCCTTCCTCCCTTCCTTCCTTCATTCCTTCCTTCCTTCCTTCCTTCCTTCTTTCTTTCTCTCCCTCTCTCCCTCCTTCCCTCCTTGCCTTTCTTCTTTCTTTTCTGCTTGCAGGCCCTATCCGGAGAGTTTCCAGGAAGAAGTAGCTCTATAAATTTCCTCACAACCTCAATCAACATTTGAGTTGAGATTCACAATTAAAATTGGAGTCAAAGGATTGAATCTGGAAAAGCCATTTAACTATATGGGCTGTATTTTTAAAAATTTGCCCAATGAGAGGAGATTTAATGATTTTCAAAATCCCTCTGTACTTGATATTTTGTGAATTAAATTTTCCATAAGCCAAATGTCAGATAAATCACTTTCCACTTCATCTACTGGAGACATTACCCCCATTAGGCTCCATTCTCATAATTATCTTACTTCTACTGGATTTTCTCCTCAGCCTGGTAAAGATTTTCAAACCTTTACTATCTTAATGAAAAACAAGACAAATAATATTCTTCGAAAAGCCTCAACATGCACTCAAGTGTTTTCTTTTTTTTTGGCTATCACTTTATATTTCATCTTCCCTTTTAGTCAAGCCTCTGAGTAGAATAGTCATTTAGTCAGCTATCCCTGGCAGCCCCTGGTAAACAAGTCAGCATGCTAGGCATTGTGCCTCTTTCTTGGTTGTAGGAGGGCCAAATGCAGCAACTCATCCTTCACCTTAAAAGGAGTATCTCAACAGGCCCCTTGCCACTGGACCCCTAGAAATTTTACTGAGATAGAAGTTCCCTGAATTTTAGTCAGATTTATTTCCCATCCTCTAGCATGCAAATGTCTCAACCAATAAGTCCAGTGTGTTTGCTACTTCTTGCTCCCCTGGTGATATTGTTCTCGGGTATATATTTGGAAAATATATGAACCCCACTTGTCTTTAAGGAGCAGTGAATAGGACATATTGTGTGGTCATCTACTTCTTTATGTTTGAATTTTGTATAAGTGTGTATATTTGAACAATCAAGTAAGTAATTAGGACAGATAAGGAAATTAAATCAGTGGAGATATACGAGTTGCTGTATAGATGATGTAGGAATATGCTAATTGTGTAGTGCTGAAGAACACCTATGTTGAAAAAAAAGATATGTATCTTAGGAATATGTTTTTCAATTCTTTTCCTGTGCTTAACAAATTGTGATGGTTAATTCTGAGTGTCAACTTGATAAGAATGAAGGATACAAAGTGTGGGTGTATCTGTGAGAGATGTTGCCTGGAGCTTCCAAGGTCAGTAATATACCTTTACTGTCCTACCTCAGGGGTATATCAACTTTGTGTCATAATCTTATTCTAAGAGACCTGGATCACCTTTTGCTTCTGCAAGATATCACACTGGTCCATTACATTGATGACATTATGCTGATTGGATCCAGTGAGCTAGAAGTAGCAAACACACTGGACTTATTGGTGAGACATTTGCATGCTAGAGGATGGGAAATAAATCTGACTAAAATTCAGGGAACTTCTACTTCAGTAAAATTTCTAGGGGTCCAGTGGCAAGAGGCCTGCTGAGGTATTCCTTTTAAGGTGAAGGATGAGTTGCTGCATTTGGCCCTCCTACAACCAAGAAAGAGGCACAATGCCTAGTGGGCCTATTTGGACTTTGGAGGCAACATATTCTTCATTTGACTGTGTTATTCCAGCCCATTTACTGAGTGACCCAAAAGGCTGCCAGTTTTGAGTGGGGTCCAGAACAGAAGAAGGCTCTGCAACAGGTCCAGGCTGCTGTGCAAACAGCCCTGCCACTTGGGCCATATGACCCAGCAGATCCAATGGTGCTTGAGGTGTCAGTGGCAGATAGGGATGCTGTTTGGAGCCTCTGGCAGGCCCCCATAGGTGAATCACAGCAGAAGCCTCTAGGATTTTGGAACAAGACCCTGCCATCTTCTGCAGATAACAGCTCTCCTTTTGAGAGACAGCTCTTGGCCTGTTACTGGGCTTTGGTGGAGACTGAACGTTTGACTATGGGTCATCAAGTCACCATGAGACCTGAACCGCCTATCATGAACTGAGTGCTTTCTGAACCATCTAGCCATAAAGTGGGTCATGCACAGCAGCATTCCATCATCAAATGGAAGTGGCATATACATGATCGGGCTCGAGCAGGTCCTGAAGGTGCAAGTAAGTTACATGAGGAAGTGACTCGAATGCTTATGGTCTCCACTACTGCCACCTTGCCTTCTCTCCCCCAGCCTGCACCGATGGCCTCATGGGGAGTTCCCTATGATCAGTTGACAGAGGAGGAGAAGACTAGGACCTGGTTCACAGATGGTTCTGCATGATATGCAAGCACCACCTAAAAGTGGACAGCTGCAGCACTACAGCCCCTTTCTAGGACATCCCTGAAGGACAACAGTGAAGGGAATCTTCCAAGTGGGCAGAACTTCGAGCAGCGCACCTGGTTGTGCACTTTGCATGGAAGGAGAAATGGCCAGATGTGTGATTATATATTGATTCATGTGCTGCAGCCAATGGTTTGGCTGGATGGTCAGGGACTTGGAAGAAGCATAATTGGAAAATTGATGACAAAGAAATTTGGGGAAGAGGTATGTGGATGGACCTCTCTGAGTAGTCAAAAACTGTGAAGATATTTGTATCTCTTGTGAGTGTTCACCAACGGGTGACCTCAGCAGAGGAGGATTTTAATAATCAAGTGGATAGGATGACTCGTTCTGTGGACATCACTCAGCCTCTTTCCCCAGCCAACCCGTCATTGCCCAATGGGCCCACGAACAAAGTCACCATGGTGGCAGGGATGGAGGTTACACATGGGATCATCAACATGGACTTCCACTCACCAAGGCTGACCTGGCTACAGCCACTGTTGAGTGCCCAATTCGCCAGTAGCAGAGACCAACACTGGGACCTTGATATGGCACCATTCCTCGGGTGATCAGCCAGCTACCTGGTGGCAAGTGGATTATATTGGACCTCTTGCATCATGGAAAAGGCAAAGATTTGTCCTCACTAGAATAGACACCTACTCCAGATATAGGTCTGCCTATCCTGCACTCTATGCTTTTGCCAAGACTACCATCCATGGACTCACAGCATGCCTTATCCGCCACCATGGTATTCCACATAGCATTGCTTCTGACCAAGGAACTCACTTCATAGCCAAAACAGGTGTGGCAATGGGCTCATGCTTATGGAAATCACTGGTCTTACCATGTTCTCCATCATCCTGAAGCAGCTGGATTGATAGAACTGCTGCCTTTTGTGGAATGGCCTTTTGAAGTCACAATTACAACACCAACTAGGTGACAATACTTTGCAGGGCTGGGGCAAAGTTCTCCAGAAGGCTGTGTATGCTCTGAATCAGCGTCCAATATATGGTACTGTTGCTCTCACAGCCAGGATTCACAGGTCCAAAAATCAAGGGGTGGAAGTGGAAGTGGCACCACTCACCATCACCCCTAGTGATCCACTAGCAAAATTTTTGCTTCCTATTCCTGTGACATTATGTTCTGCTGGCCTAGAAGTTTTAGTTCCAGAGGGAGGAACGCTACCACTGGGAGGCATAATGATTCCATTAAACTGGAAGTTAAGATTGCCACCTGGACACTTTGGACTCCTCCTACCTTTAAGTCAACAGGCTAAGAAGGAGTTACAGTGTTGGCTGGGGTGATTGACCCAGACTAGCAAGATGAAATCAGTCTACTAGTTTACAATGGAGGCAAGGAAGAGTATGCATAGAATACAGCAGATCCATTAGGGTGTCTGTTAGTATTGCCATGCCCTGTGATTAAGGTCAATGGGAAACTACAACAGCCCAATCCAGGCAGGACTACAAATGGCCCAGACCCTTCAAAAATGAAGGTTTGGGTCACTCCACCAGGAAAAAAACCAAGACCTGCTGAGGTGCTTGCTGAAAGCAAAGGGAATCCAGAATGGGTAGTGGAAGAAGGTAGTCATCAATACCAGCTATGAGCATGTGAGCAGCTGCAGAAATGAGGACTGTAACACATGAGTATTTCCTCCTTCTTTTGTTAAAAACATGTTTGTGCATGTATACACTTGTACTGAGAAAATATCTTCATTTTATTTCCTTTTCCTTTATTTCATGACATAAGATTTATTGATTTCATGTCAGCATGTAAGTATTGTTAACTTTATGTAATAGTATTTGGGTTGGGGGTTGGTGCGTTTCCAGTTGTAGGAAGGATAGTTGTATTATGTTAGGTGTAATTGTGACTTTATTATTATCTTTATTTGAAGATTATGTATGATCTCAGGAGATGTGTATGGGTTCAAGTTGACAAGGGGTGAACTTGTGATGGTTAATACTGAGTGTCAACTTGATTGGATGGAAGGATACAAAGTATTGACCCTGGGTGTGTCTGTGAGGGTGTTGCCAAAGGAGATTAACATTTGAGTCAGTGGGCTGGGGAAGGCAGACTCACCCATAATCTGGTGAGCACCACCTAATTAGCTGCCAGTGAATATAAGGCAGACAGAAAAACTTGAAAAAGTGAGACTGGCCTAGCCTCCCAGCCTACATCTTTCTCCCATGCTGGATGCTTCCTGCCCTCAAACATCAGACTCCAAGTTCTTCAGTTTTGGAACTTGGACTGGCTCTCCTTGCTCTTCAAGCTTATAGACAGCCTATTGTGGGACCCTGTGATTGTGTAAGTTAATGCTTAATAAACTTCCGTGTGTGTGTGTGTGTGTGTGTGTGTGTGTGTATGTGTTTGTGTGTGTGTTCTGTATATTCTATTAGTTATGTCTCTCTAGAGAACCCTGACTAGTACACAAATGCTCATTTAATAATTGTTGCATGTTGTCATAGTCTTCTTCTGTGTAAACTAGCATCAAACAATCTGATGAAATCTTTAGAAGTCATGTTAAACCCACAAGATTTGACAAGATTTGAGAATATTACCTAAAGAAAGAAATTTAATGAAAAACTAAAGAAACCATGAGGGAATAGATTCTTCCTCTCCCCAACCCCCATCAAATATTTTGCATTTTTGGAAAACAGTAAAATTTGTTGGATAATGTGTGTGTATACATATACAGACACATATTTAAATTGGAATAAAATATCTGAAGCAGCACCAATTCATTCCATTTAAAAAAAGTTTACCTATATATTTCTGATTCATTCATTCAAGAAACATTTATTGAAAACCTCCTAAGTAACAATCATTGTACTATGGACTGGAGATACAAAGTTTAAGAGAACAGAGCCCTTGCCCTTGAAACATACTGTAACTACTTTAATAGAGGTATGTGAAGAGAGCATTATGCAGAAAAAGAAGAATAAACCTCCAATTTTCCCTAAAAGTAAGTCAAAGAAGGCTTAATAGAAGAGAAAGGAAATGTTTATCTGAGTCTGGAAGTAAGAGTAAATATCTGTTGAGAAGATGATTTTGAGGAAAGACTGGCATTCCAGACAGATGCTCAGAGAACTTGGCTGACCATTGGGTACTGCAGGAACCTGGGGTTTTTGTGGGGAGTAGTGGGAGGTGACATTTGAAAACTGGGCACACACCACAATATAAGAGCCTTAAATGTTTTGCTGAGATCCTGGATATATTCAATGTCAAGAGGGGACAGCTGAATAATTAAGTAGTAAAGGGACATGGTCAGAATTGCCCATACCAGTTGTAGAGTACAGAGTGTAGGAGGACATTGTGCACTCAATGATTTAAACATGGGGCTAGGTGCTAGAAACACAAAGTCAGGCAAAAATGGGAAAAGACCCTCCTCACTGGGCTTACGGTCCAGTCCAGCGGGAGAGGCAGACATTAGACAAATAACTCCATTGGTGAATGTATAATTGCAAATTGAAATAAGTGCTCTGAAAGCAAGGAGCAGATTCCATGAGAGCTTGTGATAAATAAATTTTCACCTAGCTAGGGGTAGTGTGTATAATACTCTAGGATGAATCAAATTAATATATATCCACAAAAATGAAGAAGAAAAAATGATGTTTACATTAAAAATTTACCAAAAAACTTAAGCTAGCCCTTACAGACCTTTTTTTTTTTTTCTTTGAGACAGAGTCTCACACTGTTGCCTGGGTTGGAGTGCAGTGGTGTGACGTCTGCTCACTGCAACCTCCACCTCCTGGGTTCACGCAATTCTCCTGCCTCAGCCTCCCGAATAGCTGGGATTACAGGTGCACACCACCACACCCGGTAAATTTTTTGTATTTTTAGTAGAGACAGGGTTTCACTATGTTGGCTAGACTGGTCTTGAACTCCTGACCTTGTGATCCACCCTCCTCGGCCTCCCAAAGTGCTGGGATTACAGGCATGAGCCACTGTGCCCGGCCTAGATTTCTTTAACTTTAGATTGTTCTACTTGCACAAACATAAGTTGCAATAATATGTTTTAAAAGGCCTTTTCAATTCTGGAGTTTAAAAACATATTTTCTAAATCTTCCATTTCAAGCTGATTAGTTAAATATTTTACAGTACTTAAGTAGGTAATATTTTATTATTTCAGACAAAACTTTAGAAATAACGATGCAGCTTTTAACAGCTTAATCTACTGAGCATGAGAGAGAGATGAGTTAAACATTTACTAAATGCATATGATGTTCCAGTCACTTTTACATCTGTTGTATCACGTAATCTTTACAATATTCTTATAGGTATTTTTACTGGAGAATTTACAAAAGGGAGGGAGGAAAGTTTAAAAGCTTCATGTTCAAAAGTAGAAATCTTCAGGGGATGAGCATTCTTGTTTAGAAAAATATATTTATAATCCCCTTGGTTATGAAAGAGGAGAAGCCTTGAATATAATCAGGATGATTTGGAGCAAAATAAATAGCCAAATTCCTCTGCCAATAAAAACACAAAAAACCTGGAAATATTATATGGGCAAGACAGCTTAAAAGCAGGAGATAAAGTTGGCAGAGAGAGATAAGAGAAAAGATATAAACAATGGAACTGAAAACTGGTGCTCTGCAAGAATCAATAACTAGAGACAAGTTTCTGGTAAAGAAAATGTTTGAAGGGCTTCAAAAGAAATATTGAACATTACATTGAAAGATGTCTTTTTGGTTGGGCTCAAGTATGGAATCTTCAGACGCAGTTCAGGAATTTAGAATTCAGAGGAAAGAGGAAACTAGATCTAGAGTGTCTAGCAGAAACACAAGGCACCTCAAAATTCATAAATATATATGATAAGTTGGAAAGTAGATTTTCCATCATATATGAGAGGGATATCATCCAGCTTTATTTGAGTATTAAAGAACATGTGTCACAGCAGGCTGAAATTGTTGAGAACACCCAGGGGAGTGACAGTTCGTTCATTTATTAGTATCCCCATTTTATAGTTAAGAAAATTGAACCTAAATAGATTAACAGTATATTCCAGGTTACACAGTAAGTAATGGAGATGGAAATAGAACAGCCATTTTGTAACCACACTGCAACAAACTGGAGGACAAATATCACATACTAATTTTGATGGAACAAAAAGAAAGAAGGAACCTGGATCACTGCTGAACTTATGAAGCCACTGGGCTGCTTACCTCCAAACCTTTCTACAAGAAAAATACACAGTAATTTCCTTAATCCACATGGGATCCAGTTAAATGCCACTGGTGACTCTAATTTTTCAGTAATAGAACATTTGCTTAATCTGTCAGCACATTGTGTATTGACCATGTACAAACCAAGGCTGCTGTGTTAGGAAAAAATGATAGAAACAATTCAGGATGGTAGAATCTGCTCTTTCTTCCTCTTTCTTCTTTCCTCTTTGAGCCAAGTTCTACAAGAGATAAATCAGCTGAGACTACCACTAGACATCTGCAAGCAGAAGATTAGGAGAGTAAATTTGCGAGACACATATGCATATGACCCAGAAACCAAGTTGCGTGAAACTACCATGGTTTGTGCCTCGATAGGTTGAACAAGGTACGTTATTCTCTTTCCAAAATAGAGGACAGCTTAGAAGAGATAGTTTTAGATTGATACCTTCTGCCTTTCCCACACCTCTTCTACAAAAAGTCCCTGCTGAAATAGGGAGTGATTGTTGGAAAAAAAAAAAAAAGAATGTCGCATTCAACGTTTGTATCTGTACACAAGGTTGTTTCTAACTACCTCAAGGCACTGACCAGCAGGAGTTTAGGAAAATAGTCAAGTCACAGATGTCAATAGATAAAAGACTTTAATGAATAAAACTATGTCCATATGAGATCCTTGGCTATAGTTACTCGGAGAATTGGCTGCAGCAAATAGCCTTAAAACTTGCTAAGTTTTGAGGGAACTATATTGACTAAATAAACAAACAAAAAAATTCAGAAAAGGACAACATCTGCCTGTGACTTTTCAATCCCGCAAAACAGTTCTTGGACTCTAAATTGTACCAGGAACACATGCAGTCTTGAAGGTGTGCTCCTACCCCAGTGCTCAATTAAGATGTAGGGGTGGAGGATTATTAGACCAGAGGGAATTTCCAAGGTACCCGAACTGGGGCTACCAGGTTGGTCAATGAAGAGTTGTAGCTACTCTTATCAGCAGGGTCTGATATTTGTGGTAACCATTGGCTTCTCTATTTCCCAGAGGGGATTTTTTTATTGAAGCTAATACTATTTTCGCTCCACCATTGTAGATTGGATATTTTGCATATTTTGCAAGGAGATAACTAGATTATTGGATAAGGAGAAATTACATATGGTAAAAGTTACACTGTCCCAGAAACTTATGATTTGACCTAGAAGAGAAATGGTTATGAATTTAGGATATCACCTCCTTTGGGGACAGAAATAGTATTCCTATGTTTGATAGTGTTTCTCGACAGCAGTCAATATTGGGATTCTAGATGAGATAACTCATTATTCCGAATCATTGACATCACTAGCTCCTACACACTAAATGCTAGTGGAATCATATATCACTAGCCCCAATACACTAAATGCTTCTCAGTCATTATGACAAGTAAGCATGTCTCCATACATTTTATAATATTTACAAAGTGGCAGGATACTAGAATAAATGTGTGTGTGAGTGAATATTGGGTAGCCAAAGGGGTAGGCTATGACAGAGATAACTAATTCCCCACTAAATATAAATGTTTTCATCTTTGTTACTGTAAGAACCCCACTTTTATTTCAGTGAACCATTGTGTTAAGATGAACTGCTCACCTTCCCAGATTACCCTGTACTTAGCTGAAGCCCAAAGGAGGTATAAAGAAATTACTAGATGAGGCTTCCTGGAAATCCTTCAAATATAGTTCAGACTCTTCTGTCATGAGACCTTTGTCCTTTCTTTTTGTCTTTCCTGTCCTCCTTCTTCCTGCCTGGAACATTGATGGGGTATGTGGAGTTTCTAGAACTGTCCTGTATCCATGAGTTGAAGGCCATCAACTCAGCAGAAAAGTACATGGAGAACCTGAGCCCCCCATGGTGTCCTTGGCTGTGGCATCAGACTAGTCTATCCATCTCCAGACTTCTACATGAGCAAATAAGCCACTTAATTTTTTAAGCCTCTGTTTGGGAGTGTCTGTTTCTGGCAGCCAAACTCAGTTCTAGCTGACACAAACAGCATCTCTCCCTACTCTAGTTTCAGTGAAGATTTCATGGACTAGGGAAGGGCAAAGAGGGGCGAAAGAGAGCATTGAAGTAAATTACAACTGGGTGCTTTTGAGAAAGGACCTTGAACTCTGTCCCTACAGCTGGCTGAATCCCAGGAGGAACCTCTAGAAACCCCAAGGTAAACATGGGGATGCAGGTAAACATGAGGGAAGCTCTTGCTGGGTTTCTTTGTACCCCAGTGAATCAGAGATTATTTTGTCAATGCTATATGTTTAACTTACAGGAATGCTCAAAGTTAAACATAACAGGAGATAAAATGAGGATCATTAGTCTTGTAAATTTTTCCTCAAGTTCAAGGTGAAAACACATCCTGTGACATTTGTGGAGGACAGTTTTCATTGTAGCTTAAGTACTTTGCATTTCTCCAAGTGAATTGGTTGACACCTGCTAAATATGAAAAGTTTATCTGTAAGCACTGGGTCCTATGAAACACTAAATCCCAAGGAAAAAAGTGGGAATGCCATCAATTTTCTCCCTTTACAGATTAAGAAAATAGATAATTTCAAGGGGCAGTTTGCTAGGGTACCACATGGGAAATTTAAGGTGAAGTCAATTAGTAGTGCCACATGCTGTATATCTCATTCTGAACGTGTCCCTGTAAGAGTTAAATCTATCTGGAGCCACATACTGAAAACCCGATCACAACAGCTGCTCTCTGAGCCCCTTCTGCAGAAAAGAAAGAAAATAAGTTTTAATTAAATTGTATTAATTGGTTTAGCTGATCTGGAAATAGAGTAAGGGTTCTACTCTAATTTTGTTTTTTTGGCTGAAGTCCACTTGTCTTTGACATGAGAATAAAGGAATGAAGCAATAAAATGCCTAGAAATGCCCTGGTAGAGACTTTTAAACTGTCCAAGGTTAAAAAGCGCTGCTATCTCTGAGATGAACTTAAAATTCTGCTGCCAACTCTGAGAAGTCAGAAGTGCAAGCAAGAAAAGAAGAATGTGATTAAAAACCCTGCTTCCTTAAAGCTCTGCAAAGCTGCAAAGAAAAGCCAGGCATTCTTCCCATAATAGTGAGCACTTGTTAGAGAGAAAAGGAGAAGGTTGTGAAAGCATCAGGGTATAATGACCTTATTTCAGGCCACTCAGCGTAAGTTTTCGTATATAAGGTAACTGAAATTTCTAAGTGTAGCTTAACAGTTTGATGTTACGATGTGCAAAATACATTTTGTTTTACTTAAAAACATATTTGATTCCACCTTCCATGCCTGTATTGCAGCATTTTTAACCAGTTATTAAAAATAGAAATTATTTTAAAAGACATAATGCTAATACAACACACTTGTATTTTTTTGCTTCCATGTATAAGGTAAAGTTTAAATATAGTCACGATCACCTGAAACCATTCATTAAATGGCAAAATTCTGTGACACAGAGAGGATACTCTATAAAGAATGGCTTAAATTTTGTTCTCTAGAAAACATGCAGTTAAAATTTCTTGTGAAAAGAAATGCATATGGGATAACAAGCTTGCTATAGGCTGAATGTATATGTCTCCCCAAAATACAAGTGTTAAAGTCCTGAAATCCCCAATGTGATGTTATTTGGAGACGGGGCCTTTGGGAGGTAATTAGGGTTCTATTAAGTCATGAGGTCAGGACCACCGCAATGGGTTTAGCACTTTATAAAAAGAGACACTAGAAATCTTGCTCTCTCTTTCTCTCCATCATGTGAGGACATGGTGAGAAGACAGCCATCTGCAAGCCAGAAAGAGCGCTAACCAGAACGCAACCATGTGGATACCCCGATCTCATAGTCCCAGCCTCCAAAACTGTGAGAAAATATATTTCTGTTGTTTAAACTATGACATTTCATTATGGTAGTCCAAGGTGACTAATATAGAACTAATAGGGAAAAACTTAACAGATGTCATTTATAAGCAAAATTTGTAGTGATGATATTGTATCTGTGAGTTTCAGTTTTAATCCATGACTGGGCTCTGAGAGGGTCTGACTGTTACTCTGTGACTGCTTGTCCTTCACACACTCCTGAATGGTGATGCATTTTCCCCATAGCAATTTTCACAATTGCTGAAAGGAAACATTCTAAATGTCGGTGACTCAGGCAATCACTAAGAGTGTGTATTTCCCATCTGTCTTGTATATTAGAACAAATTGTGTCTCCAAAACTCAAGTCGTGTCTTTAGAAAGAACTATATTATCTGTTTCCCTTTTACTGGAAGGTACGTTCAGCAATGCTTCAGGCATTGTGGCCAAATGATGATATGAATGAGACTGGATTCTCCAGTAGGAAATGGACTTGGCCTCAAGGTGAGAGCCAGAAGTTGAAGTGGACACAGTGCTAAAAAGTGGTAATGCTCAGCTGGATGGAGGTACTTATGTGGGGTAGAGCCAAGAGTGGGAGGAAAGTGGGCAGAATTAATTTATAAAGAACAAGAATGCACTCTTACATCCTTGCCTGGGTCTATTCGGCCACTTATCTGAGTCCTCCCTCTTCCTTGAGCTCCTGCCTGATTCAGATGCATACCTATATACATATATAGTTTTAAAAGTTCAAAATGTCTGGTTGTAGAAAGTTCTGACATACAAAATTATACAGACATGCTCTCTTGAATGCCATTTCTCACCCCTTTCCCAAATTCTAATTGCGTCTTTCCTTCTGATAAGACTGGTTAAAGAAGGATCCAGTGGTCAAGGATGAAGAATTTCATGCCCTATCCACTACAATCTATAGGTCCAGGAGCTCACCCTCAGGGACACCCTCCTGGGTCAGCCCCCAGAGGTGGAGGTTGGAAAGGTCCTCTGCAGCTCCTCTCTGAAGGCTCCTCTGTATGACCTCCTCACATAACATCATGGTCAACACTAGAGTCCTTTTGTTCCATCACTACCGTCTCATTTTGCAGTCTCGTTGGTATTACAGTCTCATGTTCCTTCTTTCTTGTGAGGCAAACCCTTACAGGAGAGTGAAGTTTTCTCCCAAATACATTTGTGATAGGTTTTAGATTCCAGGATGCGTGTTCTACTTTCCAGATCAGCGAGTCTTCTGGGAGAGCAGCAGAAGGATAAAAACGCAAATATCGAAGCACCCACAATAACCCCAAACCCCTGTGAGCTTGTGTGAATATTCTGTGCTATGCAGTGATGACACCCACACTCTCCCTTTCCCTCTCTTCCAGTCAGGGAGTCGGCTTCTAAGGGTCACCTTGTAGGAGATGTTTGATATGGTCTGGCCCTGTGTCCTCACTCAAATCTCATCTTGAATTGTAATCTGAATTGTAATCCCCTGTATTGGGGGAGGGACCGCATGATTAGATCATGGAGGAGTTTCCCTCATACTGTTCTCATGAGAGTGAGTGAATTATCATGAGATCTGATGGTTTTCTTTTCTCTCTCTCTTTTTTTTTTTTTGGACAGTCTTGCTCTGTCGCCCAGGCTGGAGTGCAGTGGCGTGATCTTGGCTCACTGCAACCTCTGCTTCCCAGGTTCAAGTGATTCTCCTGTCTCAGCCTCTGGAGTAGCTGGGATTGCAGGTGCATGCCACCATGCCTGGCTAATTTTCGTATTTTTAGTAGAGATGGGGTTTCACCATGTTGGCCAGGCAGGTCTCAAACTCCTACCTCAGGTGATCTGCCCGCCTTGGCCTCCCGAAGTGCTGGGATTACAGGCATGAACCATCATGCCCGGCCAAGAGCTGATGGTTTTCTAAGGAGCTTTTTCACCATTCACTCTGCACTTCTCCTTCCTGCTGCTTTGTGAAGAAGGTGCCTTGTTTGTTTGTTTGTTTGTTTTTTGAGATGGTGTCTCGCACTGTTGCCCAGGCTGGAGTGCAGTGGCACCATCTCAGCTCACTGCAACCTCCACCTCCCAGATTCAAGTGATTCTCCTTGCCTCAGCCTCCCAAGTAGCTGGGATTGCAGGTGCCTGCCACCACTGGGCTACTTTTTTTGTATTTTTAGTAGAGACGGGGTTTCATTATGTTGGCCAGGCTGGTCTTGAACTCCTGACTTCATGATCCACCTACCTCGGCCTCCCAAAGAAAGTGCCTTACTTTCCCTTTGTCTTCTGCTATGATTGTAAGTTTCTTGAAGCCTCCCCAGCCATGTGGAACTGTGGGTCAATTAAACCTTTTTCCTTTATAAATTGCCCAGTCATGGGTATTTCTTCATAGCAGTGTGAAAATGGACTAATACAATGTTCAGAAAGTCCTTTACTATTTCAAATTCATTTTATTTGAATATCCTTTTTAAAAGAAGTTTACTACTGTGTTATAAAAATAATACTTTCATATGCTAGTTGGTTATTGCTCTGTAACAAATAACTCCAATATTTAGCAGTTGAAAACAGCACACTTTTATTGTCTCACAGTTTCCAAGGGTCAGGAATCTGAGTACAGCTTAACTGGATCTTCTGCTTTATGTTCTCTAACAAGGCTTCAATCAAAGTCTGCAGTCTCATCAGAAGGCTTGGCTGAGGAAGGCTTGATTGATGCCATTTCCAAGCTCAATAGGTGGTTTTGGCAGCATTCATTTTCTTTGCAGGTTGTTGGGCTGAGGCCCTCTGTTCCTTTCTGGCTGTTGACCAGAGGCTGTCCTCAATTCCTTGCCAGGTGGGCCTCTCCCAGATGGCAACTTGTTTATCAAAGCATGAAAACCAAGAAGGTGATAAAGAAAGTCTGCTAGCAAGACATAAGTCACAATCTTTTGTAATCTATTTATGAAAGTGACATCCCATCATCTTGACCACAATCTATTGATTAGAAACAAGTACAGCTCACCCTCAACAAGAGGAGATAATATCCAGGTGTGAATTGCACAAGGTGAGTACAACAAGGGACCATGTTAGAGGTTGTCTACCACAGTAATCATTAGAGAAATTTAGAAAATGAAGAAAAATTGAAAGTAGGCTTTCAATGTGATAGTCAGTTGCTCACATTTATCTTGCTTCTATTCTTTCCAGTCTTGGCTTCTATGACTAAGTTAAACAGACAAGCAAACAGGACTTAGTTATGCTCTATAAAGTAAATCTTATATTTTTTAAAAAGTTACCATAATGCTGTAGTGATATTTCCATATAATTACAGTGCTTTCTCTTTAGAAACATAATTTTAATAGTTGCATTAAGGTATATCGGGTGGTTTATTATTATTAAATACTCTTTTGTGGCTAGCATATTCTAATTATTTTTCTGTTATAAATGAAGACACTGAGCACCTTTGTAGACTTACCCTTTGTTCTGCAGTTTGGAATTCTCTTATAATGTATCTTCAGAAGTAGTACATGAAAATTAGGATCCTGTTAAAGACACGTGATAAATATTCTGAGCAGTTTCCACCTTTCCTAGTGCTAAAAATAGCATGATGTGGGTGATAGAGGGCCCCTTAGATAGGTCATCAACATAAGGAAGGTCCTTAAAGAAGTTACAGATGATGTCTCAGGAGAAAGTCAGTGTGAACATGATGATGGAGGAAAGGGAAGCAGGAGGTGAGAGGCAAAAATTTGGTCAGGACATGAATTGGCATCAGGAAGTCTGGCTAGATAGAAAGAAGCAACCACTTAACTAATGAAGAGGTAGTGGGTAGAATGCCAAAGCATCAGAGAATGGATGAGAGAATGAAGATAAAGGTATAGAATGAAAAGGATGAGTAGGTTTTCCAGGTAAATACTCAAAGATGGCTATGTCAGATATTTAGCGATTGGTGACACATGTGGGCCCTTGGTCATGGGACTGGTCAGAAGACTAGCTGCTAGTTGAGAACAGGACTAAGCAAGGTTAATTTGATGCTGATTAAACTGTTAAAATAGTGTTCTTTCAATTTCTCCCAATAAAAGAATTGTTCACAACATCTGTAATTTGCATGAGCCTATTGATGGAATTTAAATGGACAGTTGAAGAACGAGAGGTTAGGGTTTGATCCTGATACCTTTAGCAAGGATCATTTTGTGTGATGGGAACCAAGAAACTCTGAGGAGAAAAAGAGAATGCCCAAAGGAGCATGCAAAATCTGGCGAATTAGAAGCAGAGAATTGAGAATTATCTAATTTTTAAAAAATCTAATTTCATTAAGTTCTTGTACAAATTTCTAAGGTTTTTTCATTATCTTACTTTGAGAGGTGAGAATGGAAGGAAAATGCTCACCTGTGTATGTGCACTTTGCACAAAATATTATCGTGAAATTTGTCCCTTAGCAAAAGAAAGGGAAACATCCTACTTACGTGTTTAGGGTTCAGATGGCAAGTGTGTTTTGGCTCAAAATTTATCATGAATCAAAAAATACCTTATATATTGGTCAGCATGAGCTAGCTAAAAGAATAAATTTATTTATAAATATTTTATAAATTTTATTTCTACTAAATGAGCTAAAACCATTGTGACAATAATAATTAGAATCCTACTTCTCTCTGAGCGGATGTTTGGTAGAAGAAATAAAGCACTAAGAAAGGAACCACATATGTCATGTGACAAGATTGGGAGAGAGGAACCACTGAGGAGGCAGCCCTGTTTGGGAGGGAAGGGCAACATAATCAAAGATCTAAGCCCAGCTCATAGACTGAGGCTAAGAATTTGGGATTCTAGCCATGGTGTCTGGATGCTGCTGCACAGAGGCTCAGGGCTACTCTTTCATCTCTTCCCAGGACAGGAAATAGAGGAAACCACATAACTGAGCTCAAGTCCAAGACAGCTCAATAATATCACACACAGAGTTCTCCCATCTATCCCAAGGAGAGAATGCCAATTTGTGAGGGTATCTTCTCTTGGACCTAGAATGAGAGAATAAGGAACAGGTAGTTTCTTCCATTTCTATTTTTGTTCTCCAAACCCAAATAAAGAAACTTGCTTTTATTGTTTGTAGGGGCCTGCTATAAAGACTGCTCAGTTTGGCAGAAGTCTGGTTACAGGAGTGTGTAGTAAAGATGCTTAATGTGGTAGAAGCCTGTGCATGGATGGACCAGGAAGAATTAAATGGGGCTGCTGTAAAACACTCTTCCTAGCCAGAGATCAAGTATATAACAATTCACATGAGGAACTTGCACTTTACGAGAAAGACAAAAGAAACTGCTATTGCAAACAAATCTGCTTAATGTAAGCTTGCTGGATGCTGACAGCAAAAACTAAACCATAGTCATGTTATCATTTAGAAATGTTAATAGGATCACCTAATAAAAGTTTCAATTATAGAGCATTTATTACATAATACTGACAGCACTAAATAGGAAAAGCAATATATAGAATATGGACAAAATGGTATCCAGAGACAAACTCACGTCTTTAATGTTTTTATTTCTAAATATGAATGAGTAAAATATAAACATTAAACTTACAAGCTTAGAAAAAGAACAACTAAGTAATATAAAATAAGCTGTAGAAAAACATATTCACGATAAATGTAGATTTTTTTCTTCCTATGAAGCTGAATTCTTTCTCTCCGAAGTTCCTAATCTCTGTTTTAAGAATCACTGGTATAGATGATATTAAAATGCACATCTCTCAAATATCACCAGATTTGCATATGCAGTCACCTAGAATCATGTAGTCTTGTTTCTAGTGGTCTCCTTTAGGAGAGGTTCTGTGTCATAGTGGTAATTCTAGTGTCTAAGTCAATGCCGGGATGTTCAATAAAATGTTATTAAGTGAACATGTGAATAAATACATTCTTATGCCATATATTTAAAAAAACTGTATGTATCTTAATCCAGTTCATCAAATAAGTGTTTTGTCAAATTTAATCCTTATTAGGATCTCTTCTCATTCTTCATTTTTCAGTACAGAGAATTCTCAAAATCTAAATGATAAAAGCATAGCTATCATGGATTAAAAACAATTCCATTGTACTTTTTCTTACAGCTAACCTTGACTAATTCTCACATGTATTTCAGAAATATGAATAATGTCTTCATGCAATTCATGTAAGGCACAGAAAATAGGTATCATTATTTCTGTTTTAATGACAGATTTTGAGGTTAGGATGACTCATGAACAGCTGAGCAGCCAGTCAGTAGGAGAAACCAAAATAGAACGGAAACGCCTCCATTTCCACCCCCACGCTCAAACCTCGAGTGCACCCTCCCTGGGGAGATTGAAGCGTGATGTGCCTGTGAGTGAACAGGGAAGCGCTTCCTGCAAGTTACTAAGCTGCAAAGGCTCAGCGCTCTGAGCTATCCTTGGTGGTGATCAGTGAGAACCACCCACTCTCAATCCAGCTGATAAAAATGGAAGGGAAGGAGAACTTAGAAAAGCAGGTCCCTTAAATGCTGAGCTCCTCTTATTCTGAGGAAGATATTTCATTTACCTTTAACTGAGTAATCTTCAGAAATTACCTGAACTAAAATATTTTTTCATCCCAGTGAATGTAACCTTAAAATGCAAGCTACCTTGTTAGATGGGCACAGCCCAGCCTGTTTTACTCCCTGGGGAGGGAAAATATTTTCTTAAGCATGTTTCTCTGATTCTTTTAGGCACACAAAATTAGTGAGGCATGCTTTTATAGAAGCCTCTATAACTAAATTACTTTTGTAAAATAATCAACAATAGGATATAGCAGGTGTCAGTCTTTGGCCTGCAAACAAATTATTGTTGGAATTCTTAAGGAGCTTAAGAATATCCTTAGAATACTTGAGGAGCTTAAAGGTAATTTTTTAAAATGTGTTTTAAAAGTATTAACTATCATCCTGTATCCACAAGCATAATGGCCTTAAGTGGAGGAATTAAGAATTGCATCTGAAACATGTTTGATAAAGTTAAGATGTACTTTTGCCTCCACCATCCAATTCAAATAATAATGTTGTCCAATGCAAATACTAGTTTCCAGTAACTAGAGTCATTCCTTTCCCTACACCTCTGTAACTGGACGCATGCAAGTCTATCTTACTTACTGAGGCTGCTTTCATAATTCCAGTGGGCTGGGTTCTAAGAGAAATTTTAAAACTGTTTTCCTCCCCATTAAGCCCTTTGCCATGGTTCTATAGCTTACAGCAGCCCACACCTCACAAATATGAGAAAGGGATAGTCATTAAAACTTCTGCTTAATTCACCAAAAAAATTAAAAATAAAATGGTTAGTTACTGCCCACTCCACACTGACAGAGTTATTTAATCACCTACCACATCCTTACACCTCTGATCCTACTTGTTGGATTTTCTCTGCTGCACTATCAGTGCCTGTCTTTCTCCTTATTAGTATTAATTTCACTATTTTGTGAATGCAAACTTCTAGAGTTGTTTTATGGTCCCTAACGTCCACCCATCCTACCTCCTCTTAAAAAACAAACATGAATACAAAGCAGTCAAGCCATCGGATGGAAGGAAAGGAGCTTGGAACTGAGAGAAACACTTTACCAACAGAATGTAAACCAGACACGTTAAACTCACAGTTGGCCATAAAGAACAGCCTGAGTCTGATAGAGGGACGACAGCCAAAACAGAAGGTTCTTGTGGTGAGACGGCTGATATGGTCAGGCTGGAAAAACCTCTCCATTCCTTCCTGTGGGCACCTGAATTCCACAGGCTTGCAGATGGCAAGAATCACTGAATTACAGTTCCTTAGAGTTTTCTGTGTGCTAGTCGGAGACCTTGCACATGGCATTGAGCTCAGCACACGACGATTTCAGTTCCTTGAGCAAACTCAGATAAAATGAGGCGGAAAATGTTTCTAAAATAAGGTTTTCTAGGGAGTGTTAGTAAAATGTGACACTATCCTAGTGTAATCCAACAGGTAGGAGGTTGGATGGCCTCCCAGGCCTTCAACACACTGTATATTTGAATGTGCACAAGAGGAAATGCTCTAAAGACATGCATTTTCTTTTACCTTTTAGACTAATCCAGTGGAAAAACTATATTCGACCCAAGGATCTGTATCCACACAGTTTGACAATAATTTACTTCTTTCTGGAAGCGATGAGCACAGTGTAATTCCTGAGAAATTTTAATAATGATATTTTAATTATAATTAAGTGAAACCTAGCAAAGTTGGCTGTATCTGGAGGAACTCCACTGTGGGAAACAGATTCTTAAGGTAATTTTTTTGTTTTATATTTTATCCTACACAGCCTTACCTAACCTAAAATTTCTCAAGGTTAATTCAGCACCAGGTGGGTACTCTCGTTTTTGTCTATCTAAAGGGGGGAATTTGAGATAATGGTTGACATGTCAAAAAAGTGGCAATGTAAAATGGGGGCTAATCTTCAGAATGAAGTGTTCCCCCAGAAGGTAAAGCTGTCAGTGATCACCTTCTAGAAATTATTATACTGGCATCCATGACCCTTGCTGAGAGGATCTTGATTGAGATTCAGAGTATCCAAGGAACACCTTGAAAATGTGGGTCATACAATGTCATAACATTTGTAAAGGGGTGCATGATCCAAACTTATTAAAACCTAACATCCAGAATCTCTTAAAGTTTTACTTTTCGTTGTGTGATTTCTTTCCTCACCAATTTCTTTTCCAAGGGTGTGCTATTATTTCTCCTACTGTCATTACTTCTCTCATTCAATTCAGCCTACTTCCACAAGCTCTCATTTTGTAGTAATTAATTCATTCAACAAATATCTGCTAAGGGCCTGTTACAGTGTATGTCCTGGTCTAAGTGCTGGAGAAAGGATAGTGAAAAGAAAAGCAGATCCATTGCCTCAAGAAGCTAATGGTCTAGTGAGGGGGGTGTAGTAAAAAACTAGAGGGGGTGTAGTAAAAAACTACGGTGGCTCACACTTGTAATCCCAGCACTTTGGGAGGCCGAGGTGGGCGGATCATGAGTTCAGGAGTTTGAGACTAGCCTAGACAATATGGTAAAACCCCATCTCCACTAAAAATACAAAAATTAGCTGGGCATGGTGGCGTGCGCCTGTAATCCCAGCTACTCAAGAGACTGAGGCAGAAGAATCGCCTGAACCCGGGAGGTGGAGGTTGCAGTGAGCTGAGATCACACCACTGCACTCCAGCCTGGATGACAGAGCAAGATTCCATCTCAAAAGACAAACAAACAAACAAACAAAAACTAGAAGACACCTGCCTGGGCTATGCAGCAAGACCTCGTCTATACTCAAACTAAAAAAGATAAACCAGGCATAGCGGAGAGTGCCAGTAGCCCCAGCTACTCAGGAGGCTGAGGTGGGAGGATTGCTTGAGCTCAAAGTTCAAGTTCAAGCACTGAGCTACAATTGCACCACTGCACTCCAGCCTGGGTGACAGAGCAAGATCCTGTTTCAGAAAAAGAAAAAAAGCAACAACAACAAAACTAGAAAATAAGTAAATAAGATAATAGTGTATTTGAAGGAAAGAACAATGACCAATGTGGCTGGAACAAAACAGGTGATGGGAAAGCATCCCAGATGAGACTAGAGACTAGTGGGGAGGTCAGATCTTCTAGAATGTCATAGGCCATGTCATACACTCTGAAAAAGAGTTCCAATGTTTGGGTGTTTTTTTTTTTTTTTTTTTTTTGGTTTTTTTCCCAAAGTCCACTGAGAACAATTAAAGTGTTCTAACCTATGATATGATCTAATTTGCAATTTTAGAAGATTGTCCTGTTTTCTATGTGGAAATAGGCAGAAGGAAGGGTCACTAGAGAGGGCAAAGAAATCAGTGTGGCTGCCACTGGAGGAATGGAGGATGATGGGTCTGTGATGAGGACAATGACAGTAAAGATAAAATGAGTTCAGTGGATTCTGGGTATGCTGCTTAAGTAGGACTGAAGAGCCTGCTTATGGTTTAGACATGAGGCATAATAGCAAGGTAAGTAACCAGGATTTTATCTTGAGCATTAGCTTCATCAGCTGCCAAAACAAATAAAATAGACTGCAGGGCTTAAACAACAGAAATTATTCCTCACAGTCTGGAGGCTGAGAAGTCCACGATCAAGGTGCCAGCCAATTCATTTCCTGGAGAGGACCCCCTTTCTGGTTTACACATGACTGCCTTCTTGCTGTGTCCTCACATGATGGATAGAGAAATCATCTCTTATGTCCCTTCTTATAAGGACACTAATCTCATGAGGGCTCTACCCCATGACCTAATTACCTCCAAAAGTTCTGCATACAAACAGCATCTACTGGGAATAATGGCTTCAATATATAAATTTGGGGGGAGGCACAAATATTCAGGCCATAGCAAGAACTTAGAGGATGGTGATGCCATTTTCTGAAATGAAGGATACATGGAACAAACAGCTTTTAAGGGATAGAGGAAAAGACAGAACTACTAATTCTCTTACATTTGAGATGCTACCACAGATGCTAAGCATTGAAACCAGAGTTCCAGTCTGGTAAATCATCAGCTTTTAGGTGGTCTTCAAGTCCATGGGCCTTAGTGCTGTCACTGGTGGAGAGGACCAGGGGCAGAATGCTGAGAGGTCAAATAGATGAGGATAAAGGGCCAACATACTTTCTAGAGACGTAAGTTGCTTTGTATATTGCGGTAAATGATGACTATGTACCAGACAGTTAAATACACATGTTCTTGCCGTTGAGAAACTTGCTATCCCATGATGGAAATAGAAGCATAAATATACAGTCTCAGATAATTTTAGTGTAGCTTATTTAGGTACTTCTTTTTTAATTTAGGGAATGAGCTGTCTCTAGTCCCCATGTGAATTAGTCTGTTTTTACACTGCTATAAAAAACTACCTAAGACTAGGTAATTTTTGAAGAAGAGAGGTTTAATTGACTCACAGTTCTGTAGGCTTAATGGGAGGCATGATTGGGAGGCCTCAGGAAACTTACAATCATGGCAGAAGGCAAAGGAGAAGTAGGCATGTCTTACCATGGTGGACCAGGGGAGAGAGAGTGAAGGGGGAAGTGCCACATACTTTCAAACACCTACATCTTGTGAGAACTCACTCACTATCATGATCAAGAAGGAAATCTGCCCCCATGATTCAATCACCTCCCATCAGGCCCCTACCCTAACACATGGGGATTACAATTCAAGATGAGATTTGGGTGGGGAAACAGAGCCAAACCATATCACCAAGGATTATGGCAGGATAGATAGATAGATCTAGAGAGAGAACAGTTCTGATCATATTTCTGCCCTTCATTTATTCACAGATATTTATCAGAATTTAATCTGGTCCAGGAACTATTTTAGGTTCTAGAAATACAATCAAGAGAAAGACAGACATAATTACTGGTGTCATGGCTCAGTAGGGAAAATAGACATTTAAGAAATAATTACAAAAATAACTTACGATTGTGATACAAGAGATAACGGATAAGTATAAGGTTTTTCTGAGAGCATATACCGGGCTGAACCTGGCCCCATCTGGTCTAGTAGGACTAGGAAGTCATGTTTTAAGCCTAGACTTGAATGATGGTTGATTGAAACTCAGGAAATTATAACAGTGAGAGAAGAGTAAGTAAGAGGAGCGGCATAAGGAAAGACACCCAGGTGAGAAGAAATTTGACACAATGAAGGAACAAAAAGAAAATGACATGGCCAAGAGGTGGTGAGGGGGAGCTCAGCTGAAACGTGGGCAGAGGCCAGGTGCTACAGACCTTGGAGGCCATTTGATAATTGTGACTTTACCTGAAGAACAAGGGGAAGTCACTGAGGGAAGTTCAGTAGGGGGAGACATGGTCAGATTGGCATTTTAGGAAGGTCACAGTTGCTATTTGGAGGAGAAGATTGAGATGACTGGAAAGTCTTCAGGTAGTTTGATAATAACCCAGGCAGAGAGGTACAAGCCCCATAAAGGCTCTCAAGAATAGGGGCTCAATCAATGTTTCCAGCCAAATTTCTATTTACCGAATAGGGAAATTACATAGAGAAATTAGATGACTGTTTTTTCCCAAACACATTTGAGGGCTTGTAGTCTCCAAGCACTTTGCTCCCTATGTTTGGAAAGATCTCTGCCTCCAGCTTTATTATTTAGTTTTCATCCACTATCTTGAAAGTATTTTTTTTTTTCCCTGAAGACATTATTGGCTCTCATTAGTGAATCTAATTTTCCTTTCTTAGTGTCCAAGGATTTCTTTTTTTAAGAATATGAGATAAAAATGTTGAGGATACATGCCTCAGAGGCCTTTCCAGGGTTTTAGCATGCCGGTAGCTGGATAGTACGAAGTTACTCTATAGAGAAAATTCTACAAGGGAGGTGGAGAATGTGCCAGTAGTGGAAGGCACAAAAGGGTCAGGGTCTGAGAAATGGTAAAGGAGTCCCAGCTAGAATTAGGTTCCTCTGTGACTAACAGCCACCAAATAACAGTACCTCAAAAGTTGACTTCTCTTTCTTGTAAAAAGTCTAGTGGCAGATAGTCTAGACACCTAAGGTAATTCTAGAAACCTACACTTGATCTATGTTTTTGCTCAGCCAAACTCAACGTGTGACTTCCATTAGATGGCTGAAGATGGCTGTTTCGCTGCATCAATGTGTGACTTTCAATAGATGATCGAAGATGGCTGTTTGGCACTGTGTCTGAATTAAGCCAGAAGGAAGGAGGAAGAAGATGAAGAAAAGGCATGCCTCTACCCCTTAGGACCACGTCTCTGAAGCTGTATACAACATTTCTGCTCTCATATAATTGGGCAGAACTTAGTCATAGAGCTACATGTAGTTGCAAGGGAAGCTATATGCACTAATGTGCTTAGTTAAACATTGGGATTCTCTTACTAAGGTACATAAGGAGAACATATATTTGGAGAGGCAACTATCCATCTCTGCCACAAGATCTGAAACAATTATTGTGAGACTATAAACATAGAAAAAAGCTCCAGAGATCAGGGGGAAGTCAGAAATTATTTGGGATTCCAGTGAATGGAATGTTGACCATAAATGAGAAATGATGCTTGGGATAATTCCTAGCGAGCATTGGCTTTTAGAGTTGGGATTGAAGTCAACCAGCTATAAAGAGCAAGACTGGGTGGGGTACTTTGAAATGTCATATCATTGTGTATGGCTTTTGTGGTAGTTACTGCTTCTTTTTAGAATAATTCTCATAACTAGGTAGAAAGCTCACCTTTGAAACTTCTGCATGCCTAATAAAATGCTTCACTCACACCCAGTTGTTTTACTCAAGCGAGTAGTTTTATGGTAACTGCATTTGGGGTAACAGTCTTACAGAAGAGTTAACACAATGGGCAGATTCCAGGTGTGCTGTCATTTGGAGGAGGCAAATCCATACAGACAAGAAGTAGATTAGTGGTTGCCTAGAGCTGGAGGAGGGTAGGGATAAGGAATGGATTACTACTGGGACTGGGTTTCTTTTTGGGGTGATGAAAATTTTCTAAAATTGATTGTGGTGATGGTTGCCTAACTCTGTGAATAGCAATGAATTGTGCTATTGTACACTTTAGGTAAATGGTATGGTATATGAGTTATATCCCCAATAAAGCTGTTAAAAAAGAATGAGAAAGACCGAGTGACTTGCCAAGGTAGTCTCTCAAATGTGTTGTTGTTTTTTCTTTGAAGCTCTTAACAAAACTTTTAAAGACATGCAAGAATCATTATGGCTCAGAGTCCTGATGGGAGTACCAGGCTCTCTTTTGAGCTGTTGTCTCTTAAAACTTGTAGCATGCCTTGTCACGTATGTTATCAAAAAAGTAAGGAAAAGAATAGCTTCAGTTCCTATTGCCCTCAAATCTGAGACTTTCAGATCAGAAGTTTAACCTAATGTCCTTGGGCATGGGAGGGAGGGAGGAGGTGTGAGGGGAGATCCACCTTAGACTTTAACCTCCCTAAAGGTGTATGCCAGTTGTAAATATGTGCTTAGTTGAATTATTCTGGGAGGATGCATCTTTATCATAGTCTCAGAGGAATTTATTGCCTCTCCCACCCCCACCCCCAAAAGAGGGAAGCTTTAAAAATATGAAGTATAAAATGCAGCATATAAAAAAAAATCGTTGCCTAATTTATATTTACTTTGTTTCACTGATTGGGAAAGAAGTGAAGAGAGGAAAAATGCTGGGTTAAGGGGGGCAGGCCAGGGTGGTGATGGAGCGACTCATTCTCAATTTCTGCAAGGAGGAAACAATATTTCTTAAGACATAGTCTAAATTAAACTTGGTAGAGGAGGAGGGACTGATCGAATGTGCTTGTTCTCTCTTCTTTCCCTGTAATCGTTTTAGGAGAGGGAATGGTTTATAGGGACAAACATCAACTCTGATGAATCAAATGAAATGAATGAGAAAGTCATACTTCATATAAACACTGCAAATCAATGTTAGCCCTCCTTACCCTCTCCATTGAAGATGCCTGCCACATGAATGATTCATGTTGAACCATCAACTCAGTACAGTCATCTGCAAGAACACCAAGGGTTTGCTTACACATAATTACTCAGAACTGAGTAGGAGGAAATCCTTGTCTCGGATCATGGGAGATAATGGAATTCCAACGAAGGATGCCTTGGCAAAGTAGAAGTACTTTCCCTTGGACCTTTGAAATCCTTAATGAGTTGAATCATGTCAAGTAACAAAATAAACAAGGATGAGAAACATCAGTTGGGTTCGGTCCAAAGTCTAGCCTGCTTAAGATTGGGCTTCCCTCATCACTGCTTAAACATTATACAGTTTTCTATCAGCCAAGCCTGTGTTTTTTTTTTTTTCATTTTTTTTTCTTAAATCAGATTTCAAAAGCCAGGCACTAGCTGATGGTAATTAGTAGGCATCGGTTGCAGTTTATTCTTGCTGTTCTTTCCAGGCATGCATAATTTTTGTGAAGAGAAAAGAAAATCCAATTACCCCCAAATCTAGCCAGTGTGGCTCATCTGCTCTTGTGTTAGATCTTTAGAAATGGTTCTTAACAATAGAAATGAAGACATATGGTACTTGAGAACAGCATCTTGCAACCTTATTTATAATATTAAGGAAAAAAGCCCAGTCAGGTGAACATTGACATCCTACTTTATGAAAATCTGACACAAGAAATGTTGATCCCATAACACACGTAACATAGAGACTTGCTCATACCATAAAGAATTTATTGGTGATTTTATTTCTAGTATCCCTCTTACATTTTAAAAGACTCCCTTAAAAATGCTTGACTTGAAGCTTTCCAGGAAAGCTTACACAGTAAAACTAAAAACATCTGATACAATTTTGAAGGACTCAGATTCTTCAAAGCAAGGAAAGTGAAAATTTCTACTCAACTTTGTAAAGGTTGGGTCTATGACAAAATATTTGATAGGTTAGATTATTTTGTTATTTAAATTACTCCTTGAAATGCTGGTTAATTTCAGATTTCATTGATCTTTGAGTTTCGGAGAGTGTTTTAGTATTGCAATAGTAAATACTAAATAGAATTTTGGTAACAAAAAATACCCTTTATCATTTGGATTAACATTTTTAGGTCATGTTTTTCTTCTCTGTATATTTATCTGTGAAGAATAAATGACATTAAAGGTGAATCATACTAAAATTGCATGTATTGTTTTTTGCCCAAGAGAATTTTCTTGCTGCAAGTAAAAACACACAAAAAAAGTTATTGAAAAAATTCAGCTTTACATTTTTAAATAAGCCCATTTTGAACCCTTCTAATACAAGCATTGTTCAACAACACTTTGTGTTTATAATAGATTTTCATTAACCACCTTGTGTCTGATAGATACACTGTTGTGTATCTATCCTGATGACTTCCTGTTGGACATGAGCAGAAGGGCACTTCCCGGGATTGCAAGACCATCTTTGGCTCCAGGAAATTTTTCTATTCAGTGTGTAGCAAGACATTGATTATGGGCAGAATTCTCCAATTATAAGAGCTTTTCTTTTTTGTCTGGATAGTAGTTTGATCATATCATATTTTTGCTAAAGGATTCCTAACAGACTCTGACACCTTATAAATTTAAGTCCAAATTCCTCAACATAGTTCACCAGGTTCTCGTCATGGGACTTACTGTCTTCCTTTCACTTCCTCTTGCAAATCAAAACCCACCCTCTGTTTCAGTCAAGGTCTTCTTCCTGCATTCATGCTGATTTCCCTCTCAGAGCCCAGGCTGTCCCATACCCATTCATCTTTTCATACATCCAGTCTAAGATTCCAAAGAAAGCATACTTTCTGGACCAGGTGCTACTCTGGGCATCATGTCAGCACAAAGGTGAATAAGGCACAGTCTCTGTCTTTGAGGAACTCATAGTTTAGGGTTGAACGTGGACATTTAACCAAATATATAAAGTAACACAATGAAGTAAGGACATTCAAGATTAATTAAGGAAGGGATTTATTTTAGGGAATGACATAACAGAAGAGGCTGTAGTTGATTTGAACCTTGAAGAATAAACAGGAGTCTATCATGAGCATTTGGATTTTGTCTGGTAAGTTTTTTTAAGTCTAGTATAGGCCTTCAAAAATATTTGTTGAAAGAGCTAGCAAAATGCTAAATGAGTTTTGGTGGTGGGGGGTTTGTTTTGATATACTTTTCTTCCCCAGTTCTGACAACAGCCTTGTGAAGTTGGTAAGGCTATTAGAGCTATACAAATAAGATACAGGCCCAAAGGAAGTTGACCCAATAAGTGGAAAATCTGAAACCACATCCATTCTTCTGACTCTAAGGCCTTTGTTCTATCTACTCTGCCTTTCTACCTCCCTGAGTGCTCTTTTGAATTTCCTGACTGCTCCCATCACAAATAAACACAGAGCAGATACTCAACAATTGTTTATTGATTGAGAGAAGCATATAACTTTGATGTCAAAATTTTAATACAGATTTTCCAAGCCCTTTAATAGCCCCTAAACTGGACTTTATATTTCTTTAACTTGGCCCGTTGACATTTCTCAGTCTTTATACTTCCTGAGGCAGGGATAAACTGCTTGCTTATTTGAAAACAAAAGCATGCAGACTATAGGCCATCAATAGTGACCGTGTTGAAGAATCTCACTCCTAAGCTATAGTCAGAATAGTGTTAGAAGGAAAAACAAGAGGCGGAGGCATGTCCACAACCATATAGGAACTTCTCAGAAGCCACTTATCTCTTGGGCAAATAATACCAATTACTCTGCAAGTTTTCTCTATAGCTCTAGGGCATGGTGTGACACTTTTTAGTTGCCCAAGTGCTACTTTCAGAGGTTCAAAACCACAGAATGGATATTCATTTCCACGACTGCATTAATGTATCTCCTTACAGAAGGAACGGAAAGTCTTTTACTCAGTGTCAAGCTTTCCCAGGTCTTTACACTTGAGCACCCGCCAGCTTTTCTACAGGCAAGTCATGGGGTCATAATCGGGGAGCAATGTTCTCCCCAAATGTATGCTTTCCTTTCAGATAACTCTCCCAGAACACCCCACTGACCCTTTGTGCCCTAGTGATGGAAGAACATTTTTAGGTGAGATGGTGTATTTTACATAATGTGTTCCCAGATGCTTTCCATGAATGACTCAGGGCAGGGTAAGCTGCATAAAATTCTGGTGCAGCGGCCGGAAGAAAGCTGCACTCTGTTTAAGCATGAGTGTTGTGTTGTGAGCAGGCTGAGTAATGATGTTCTGTGAGTGACTAGTCTAAGGAAAAGCCAGTGAGTAGGAGTCAGGCTCTCTGACTTCAAATGTCAACATAGATGGAACAAAAATGAGCAGGTTAGTTAAACTCTTTGGGCCTCAGTTTCTCATTTGTGAAGCAAGAAAATTAATGCCTATTTTTGCCCATTTGACTATAGTGGCAGGAAAGGTCATGTGTAAAGTCAAGTTGACTCTTATTTATTGAATGTTTCACAAAAGAAGCATACATGTCATCAGAGAATATGCCTGAAGAAAAAAGAGATTGTTTCAACCAATGTTTAGTGTCTGGTGCCAGGGATATGGTAGTAAACAGATGTGTTCTTGCCCTTAAGGGCTCATGTGGTAATTTAGGAAACAGAGACTAAATAATTAATTGCACATTTAATTATACAATTAAATGTGATAAGTATCACAGAAGAGAATTATGTATAAGAGTATAAGAACAGAAGAAGACAGTCTAGTCTCAAGAAAAGGTTCAGTATGGGGATGACATTTAAGTTGAATTGTGAGAGAGGAAGGGTAAATTGGGAAGTGGCAAAGATGTGGGAGATGCCTTTTTAAAAAGAGGAAGTGTTATACGTAAAGGTTTGTGAGGCAATTGCATGTGGCAGGAACCTAGAATTGAAAGCAGGACTTCGGGGCTAGGGGCAGTGAGTGTGGTACTACATGGTGCTGAGGGACCACTGGGAACCAGCTCACTTGGGGCCTTGTATGCCAAGTGAAGGGCTCCAAATGGTTATTATAGGAAGAATGAGAGACTTTACAGAGTTCTAATGAGAATGGCTTGATCAGATCTTTTTTATAATTACACTGAATGCAGGGTGGAAAATGAATTACTGAAGCGTGAGAGTGCATAAAAGGACACCCAAAAGTACATTTTAAAAATGGAGTCTACCCAGTTCCTTCCTGCCGTGTAACAGGAATCCAGGGCCACCATTTTGGTGCACTTGAATAGATCCTGACTTTTTGTCCTTTTATGCATATCCCACCACACTTAATGTTCTTATATTCTATTCTTTCTAAAACTCTGCATAAGATAAAATGTGATTATTTCTTGATTTGATGTTGATAGGTGGTAAGCTAGCCTCCCCAACTAACATAGCTATATTCTAATAGTATTATAACTATCTTTTCTCTTCATTAATATTTACTAAGAAAATAAAATCTAATTGTAGAGATAAGTTAAAGATAGATGGATGAATACATAGATATATAGACAGGTGAAATATAGATAAGTAGATAAATAGATGGATGGATGGATAGAAAGATAGATAATATAAATTAGTACGCTTTTAGCTGCAGGAAACAGAAATCCCACATAATAAGTCTTGAGGCAAAGCAGCTCCAGGTTAGTGAATTTGTTGGCTCATCATCATTTTAAGAACCTAATTATTTTCTTTATTTCTACCTGACTATCCTCAGCATATGGCAATCTCTCTCCTTTTTTAAATTGCATGTATGTTTGTGGGGTACAATGTAATGTTTTCATATAAATCTTGATGGTCACAAGCTGGTTGCAGTTGTCTTGCAATCACATCCCATCAATCCAGGGTTCTGAAAAGGGTTTAGCTCTTCCAGGTGTATTCTTGAGAGAGAAGAATCCTGTCTCAGAAGCTCCTCAGACAATCTTATTCATGTTTCATGCTAGGCAATTCACAGGGGAATGAAATGCCTATTATTTTCAATTTATTAACTCAATTATCTTAGAGTTATTACAACTCTCATCCTGGAACTGAAATTTAAGGCAGGCTTTCTTGAAGCAAAAGGCCTTGGTGACTCCCTATAGAAAATTAGGATTTATTATTAAGGAGAAAGGGGAAATGGCTTTTGGATGGCTGAGACATCAGTGGTGTCTGCTTCACATGTAAAAATTAAAGGTAAACCACAAAAACAGTCAAGCAAATGAATGATACTCAAAGTGTCATGTCAGCTTGCAGCATCAACATTACCTGTGAGGGTGTGAGAAATGTTAATCCTCTGGCCCTACTAAGGACCCACTGAATCAGAATGTTTGAGGGTGGGCCCAGAAATCTGTGTTTTAGGTTCAGCAAGTGACAGTGATGGAGAGAATAGTTTAAGAATCATTGCTCCAGAGTAAAAACATGTTTCAGAAGGTTGAATGACACCAAGCAAGGAGTTGAAAACGTGGATCAGAGCTGGGGGAGAGGGATCAGAGCTAGGAAATTTGACTAATCAATTAAAACACAGGCCTTATATCATGCTAGTAAGGGAGACATTTTGCAAGGAAGCCATTTACCATTCTCTGAATCATATTACCTTCTTTATCTACTGGTAGAACCATTTTGGCTGCCAGAATAAGACAAATGGTGTAAAGATAAGAAAATATTCTACAAAAACTATATGAGGAAATAATTCACTATATGATAAATAATTCACTGGGAATAATGCCCAGGCATGAAAGTATTTGAGTAAGTTTAGAATTTGGAAAATAGATAATAAATTCTGGGGCATAAATATGGAAATGAAAACATGGAGTGGCTGGAAGGCATGCTGTTTTACAGATCCAGAATAACAATTATAGGTTCTTTCTCTGGACATTCCCAGATGCTGATCAAACAACACTTGATACAGCTGCAAACTGCCAGCTAGTAAATCTATATGGAAATTTACAATCTACCTGGGGAATACTTTTGTGAATCTGAATTGTGGGAGTGGAGATGAAAGTTTTCATGTATTATTTTTTATTTGTATGAGTACATGTGGAAGCCACACACCTGCTATAGATGTTGCTCAAGGAAACACATAAGTCTGGCTTATAACAGGCTGAATTGTTTTCGAAATAAAAAGTGTAGAAAAGAGTAGAACAGAGTCCACAAGACCATCCTAAGCTCGTCATCTGGAAAAGGAAATGTGTGGATTTCTGTTGCTTTGGCATATCCCAACATCACGGCCAACTGAATCTAACCATAAAAGGCTTCCTTTAGAAGAGAAGAAAAGGGCAAAACAGATTCACAAGAGGACTGGAAGCAGAGATGTTAACACTTAGGAGGTAAAAGAGAAAAATAAGCTAGACATCGAGCCATAAGAATAGTCATCTCCAAAAAGCACCCTGGCTAGCCTCAACCTTGTTCGAAATGTACTTGTACGCAATTAGTTTGCATACTACTTTGAAGTTTTTGGAGGGCTTCTTCTCAAGCCGTGGTTCTCAAATTGTAATGTTTATCAAAATTACCCAGAGAGTTTGCTAAAACACAGGTTTCAACTCAGTAGGTCTATGGAGGGCCTGAGATTGTGCATGTCTAAGAAGTCAGAAATGCAGTTTGTTTGAGGACCACACATTGAGAACAACTTAGTTAAGATTTTTGAAGTTAATTTTTTTGTATTTTTTAATATTTTCTACTTTTCATTTTTGCTGATACACACACACACACGCACAGTCCTCTGACAAGACCTCTAACTTGCTTCATAGTCCAGGAACATGGGATTACTGGTGACTGAAGACAGCTAGAATAACACTAGGTTTCGTACCTCTCATGCTGATCACCCAAGACACTTACAACATTAGAAGGGCAGAGGAGGAAGTTCTGCAAGTGTAACTTTTATTTTTCATTTACCAAACAGAGGAATGAAAGTCTCTTGGAATTCTAGATAGAATGTAAGTATTATATTAGGAAGGAAATAAGGGGAAAAAGAACAAGCTATGGCCAAAAATTAGTCTGTTAATAGTTTTAGAGAATGTCATGCACCTCTAACAGAGAACTTTGGATGTATGAAGTCCTGAACATAAAGTTGACTAGTAGTATATTAGAATTAGACATGAGGCATAAGTTTATAATTTATAAACATAAGTTATGAGACACAAGTCTATCATTATTTTAAGAAGAATGATTAATTTTACCAAAGACAGCTGAAGCTGGACTAGCTGCAAAAAAATCGTATGTGTAAGTCCATTCTCACACTGCTATGAAGAAATACCTGAGACTAGGTAATTTATTTTAAAAAAGAGGTCTAATTGATTCACAGTTCCACACAGCTGGGGAAGCCTCAGGAAATTTACAATCATGGTGGAAGGCACCTCTTCACAGGGCTGCAGGAGAGAGAATGAGCCAAGGAGGAATTTGCCAAACACTTATAAAACCATCAGATCTCCTGAGAACTGACTCACTATCATGAGAACAGTGTGGGAAAAACCACTGCCATGATTCAATTACCTCCACCTGGTCTCTCCATTAACACGTGGGGATTATGGGGATTATAATTCAAGATGAGATTTTTGGTTGGGACATGGCCAAACCATATCATATTGTGACTAGGATATAAAGTTATAGTAATGTTTTAAGTGTTGTGATTCTGAAGTTTTATATTTGAAATAAAAACATAGTAGTTAGTCCAAGAACTCTACATGTGAAGATTAGTATTGCAGAGTAGCCATTTAAAAATGTACATAGGCCAGGCACAGTGGCTCACACCTGTAATCCCAGCATGTTGGGAGGCCAATGCGGGCGGATCACTTGAGGTCAGTAGTTTGAGACCAGCCTGGCCAACATGGTGAAACCTCATCTCTACTAAAAATACAAAAATTAGCTGGGCATGGTGGCGCATGCCTGTAATACCAGCTACTCAGGAGGCTGAGGCAGGAGAATCACTTGAACCCAGGAGGTGGAGGCTGCAGTGAGCTGAGATCAAGCTGCTGCACTCCATCCTGGGTGACAGAGTGAGACCTTGTCTCAAAAAAGAAAAAAAAATGTACATATGTTTTTTAAAAATAAAATTTATTTTATTTCAAATATAAAAGAGTAATGATTGAATATAGAATTTTCTGAAAATTTGGAAAATTTGACTTAAAAACATTTACTCAGTCTCACTAGAAAGACAACAAATATTAATATTTTATTGCATTTTTAGTCTTTTAAGCATCTTCTATATAATTTTGATACATAAATTTTACTATAATTTTTTACAGTGCTTCTTTTACTAAATATTATGTTTTTCCATTATTAGAAATAACCATTAGTATATTTAATGTCTACATGCATAGACTGAATGTACCACAGTTTACTTGAATTTCTTTTTATGGCCAAGTGCTTTGTTTCCGCCTTTTCTCCATATTCTAAATAGCACTAAAATGAGCACATTTGTACACAAAAGTTTCCCTGTATTTAACATGATTTTCTTTGAATAGATTCTTGGATTTAAAATTACCTGTCTCAGACTTGGAAATTTAAGACCCCTTCTACACACTGTGAAATTATTTTCCAAAGAAGCTATAACGTTTTTCTTTCCTGCTAACAAAACACTATCTCCAGTATTGAATATCCTAAATTAATTTTTAATCTCTGCCAATTGGATAAGTAAAAATTTAGATCTTGTTTTAATGTGCATTTTGTTGTTTACTAATAAATTTTTTTCATGTTGGCTGATGAAATATATTTTCTCTTATATGCATTTGACTTTCAATTCTGTTCATTTTCAATTGAGATATTTACATTTATTTATGAAAAATATGAACACGCATTTCTGAGAATTAATAAAATAAAATAAAACCTAGAAACATAAAACATCTTAGCTGGTCTGGGAGAACCAAGTGTTATAGGTATAGAATAACTTATGCTTTCCAATTTTCACCTTTTGGAGCCCAGACAGTTCAGTATTGTGTTTGAGAAAGATAATTCCAAAGTAAAACAATCATAATATTAGGATAAATAACACCATTTAACCTAAATCTTTCCCAGGGTAAGTGCAACATCAAAGATGTGGCCCGTTTAAAGGCAATTGCCCTCAAATGGAAGATGTATGGTCAACATCAAAAAGTTTGGGTTCTTTCCTCAAGTGATCAACCTGCAAATGGGAAGGGGGCAACATGT
The DNA here is from genome assembly GCF_000001405.40 of Homo sapiens. NCBI lineage: Eukaryota > Metazoa > Chordata > Mammalia > Primates > Hominidae > Homo > Homo sapiens. The sequence goes on along the minus strand of NC_000013.11, from coordinate 80,031,802 downwards.
TTAGTGGCAAACATGCTAAATAACTGCTTCACCATTTCCCAAGTATTTACAGACCACTGGAATGGACACATCTGCCAGTTCATAGTTAAGTAAAGCAAGTTTGACTCAAAGAAAGCAAGTTTGGTGATCTTTGTAGACTTTCAAATTTCCTTCATCTTGGAAAAAGTGATTGACAAAGGAAGTGTCAAAAAGGTCAATGAACTACCTGGATATAAACTGCATCTGGAAACCCCTTTTTTCAAGATTTATCCATTGGAGGAAGTGCTAGGTATTGGTTAACGGGACAGTTGATCTCCTAGGCTGTTGACGAAGGCCATAAATGTATGCTTATTATTCTTATTCTGTCAACATCTTTTGACATCTCTGTATGACTAATCATAGATCAGCCACAGAGAAATATAAAGTAAATGACTCCCTTTCCCTAAAGTTCAGAAACTCAAGATGCCTAGAAATTGAATTTCTTGACAGTTTAGTCCTTTTGCTGTTCTTTCTCAAGAAGTGTGGGATAATTGATGCTAAACAGACCTATAAATATTTGGTGTGTTTGTGTGTGTGTGTGTGTGTGTGTGTGTAAAATAAGACGCCATAGTGATGTTCTATATGACACTCTAATTTATATTAGAAAAAAATAACATATTTTAGAAAAAAGCAATTTTATCACGCACAAATTTAATGTCCATGTTTCTGTATCTATTTTGTTTGTATCAGTGGTATAATATTTCCCTTAGAAAGGTGAAACCTGTGCCTAATAAGAAGAAAACAATTACTTCATAAAAAATACAATGCCAGAACTCTGCTAACATTCAACTATCTATGTGTAGTATAGAAGTGTTTGTGTGTAGCTATCCTAACATTTCTATCCCCTTTTCCAGCATGACAAGCAGGAGGTAAACAAAAATTTAAAATAGAAACTCTGACTTCTCGTTTGGCCATCCCTTCTGCCAGCTCTCCTGTTTACTAGTAGTTTCTGGTCTCCAGAGAATCTGACCAGCATTGGTTTCCAAAAGCGTATACCTTTAAGGCAGCAGTTCTTCCCCAAAGGCAACTTTGCCCCCAGGGGCATTTGGCAAGATCTGGAAACAATTTTTTATGGTCTATGGGGTTGTGACTGGCACCTAGTGGGCAGAGGCCAGGAATGCTGCTTAACATCGTACAGTACACAGGACAGCCCACAACAACAGCATATCCAGCCCAAAATGTCAATAGTGATGAAGCTGAAAAACCCAGTGCATGAGCCACAGTGAGGACTCTGTGCAAAGACAAAACAAATGAAAGGAAAATCATTAGACAGTTGACCACTCCCCTGCCACAGTCTAGAAAACAATTCATTTGGGTGGGAAGGGAGACAGGATAAATAGTAGGAAGCAAATTGAACAGAGATAGCCTTGGAGTTCTGAGGTGAAGTGTCCTCCCTCCATCTCCTTCCTTGTCTCCCAGGTTGGGGTTTCAGAAAGAAAGAGGATAGTTTTGTGTTTTGTGCAGTCAGATAGGACCACAAGGAGATGATAATTGCTGTGCCTCAGCACGGAAGCAACAGGAAGGTATGGGTTAGCCAGGCCTGGTTAGGAACAAGTTTAGAGAATGCCATTTCTGAAAGGGACTTGTGGATGGGAACAAGAGATATCTCAGAGGCTACCTGTGTAAGCCAGTGACTGAGGATTAAATGGGATCCTACCTGAGTACCTAGGTACCTCTGTAATGCTCCTTGATCACGGATACAACCCTGGAAAAGGGGAGTTGACAAAATTGGCTTTCTCCTGGTCCCAGGTAAGGGAGGCTGAAACAAATTTGATTTATTAAGTGTATGGCTTGCATTTCAGAGACTATGGTCTGAGATTAGTGCATGCTGCAAGTAGAAGTTCTTATCTGAATTGTCCAAATAAATTTTAAATATATGTCTGTCTTAAATAACTCAACCAAAAGCAATTTTCTTTTTCATTTTGTTACATTTAATTAGAACAGGTATTAAACCTTCAACGTGATATTGGTGTTTGATTTTGTGATCCCTCCTCTTCCATCGCCAAAAGGATTTTATAATTCTACTCTGTTTTTTGTGTACCAGGGCCTAGTATCTTAACTGAAGACCATCTAGTGGGTTTAAAACCAGGACTGAGTATAAAATATCTGGTTCAAACACATTTCAAATATCAAATTGTTATAGTATTAAGGAAAACTTAGTTGTGAAAAAAGTCATTATCTAGTGTGACAAGCATAGCTTTTGAGTATTTGGTCTGGCTGGTCTTAAAAAATAATAAAAAAAGAAATGCAAGATTATGTAACAGCCTGTCACAGACACCTTTGTTAACTAAAGCCAGTATTATCTTTCAAGGGTGTCACAGTTCTATTGATTTGAGTCCTCACCCAGAAACCTAGGGAATTTACCCAACTGTTCATCAAGGATTCTGGACACCATTATCAAAGGAAAAGGACATGTGTTGACAGAGGAACACCTGCTGCCAGCCCGGCAACAATCCAATGTTTGTGCACCAACCCAAAGCAAGAGGAAGGCTTTGTTTCCACAGCACATCTACTTCACTGTCCGCTTTGGGGGCAAGCTGCTCCTGTGGGTGGGGTGGGTCTTGTCTCCCTCTTTTAGGTACCAATTTGTTTATTTGCTTTCTCTAAATCATTTTGTGAATCCTTTTCTCTCATTGGAGACTAGATGTTAAGAAGAAAACCTGGAAATTCTCTTCTTTCCTCAGTAAGGATAATTATTTATCAGGCAGTCCTTGTTACTATACTCACCTGCCATAAATACAGGTTGGCTTGGGGCTAACAGTGACATCTACTCTGGTTTCCTTCCAACAAACTTACATCAGGATCGGGTATCCTTCCCCAAAGTGTCACTGCTTAGGGCTAACTCTTTGATAATGCCCCTGTTTACTTCTTGAGGCACTGGGACATATTATATAAATTAAATGAGTAAAAACATTATCCTGTTATAAAGATATTTCTTGGAGTTCAGAAATAACAAATTTCAACAGAGCTCAAAGATACATAAAACCATTTCAAATCTACAGGTTAATCTCTTCTCCATCGATAGTATTTTGTCTTCCTACACAGCCTGGAATTGCTGGAAATGTGCCATGTTTTCTTCGCTCAGATTATATAGAAATTGCTTTACTGTTTCTTCTGGAAACTCATTCCCATCTTTGACATGTCAAAGTGAAAGAGATTAAAGTGATTCCTGATCTGCATAGAACTTTATCTAGCATTAGCCTTGGCCTTTACAGAAATTTTCTACCTAGTTGGAAGTCACCATTATTTTACAAGAGTGGTATCATCATAAAATGTCCTTTACAGAGGAAAAGAATGTTAGAAGGACCTTAAATAGACACTCAGGAGAAATATTACGACACAGAGGAGGAGATAATATTGAGCAGAGGCTTCACAATTGTCTTTGTAGTTCTGACAAGTTATTAAAGTTAAATACTTATATCATTCTTCTATAAAGACAATGCCAAGGGAAAGAGAGGCCAAAATTTATCAGGAAGGACACACAGTACCAGAAGTAAAATTATTGGCAGCATGATGTAATTAATGGAACATGGATTTTAATATAACATACTCATCTTAATTTAACATTCTCGTTAATAGAATCCCTAATATATCAATATTATTATTTCATCTTAGATAAAAAATTTATTTCACATTTCTTATGTAAAATAGTGGTGCAGGATTTTTGTATGACTTAAACGAGAGAGGCGTATTCATGCACTTAGCACAATAACCACTTGCAGTACAATCTCAGCTATGCTGGTTCTCTATCCTACCTTCCTGGTCCTTAGTTGATTTAAATGGCTTTCTGATTTTTTTGACCCAGAGTTGTTGACATTCACCTGTGTCTGACCATAATTCCAGATCTACAGAATAGTTTTGATGTTTGAGATGAACAACAATGACAAAAAGCTTTCAGTCATCTGCAGCTATGTGAATAGGTATTTCTGTGACTCAATGCCAGTGCAAAGGCTATGTAGTTCATTATTTCCCATGGTATCCTACAAACTACTTCGTTTTGCTCTCTTAGTCCCTTTCATACTTGCTTCAACTCTTCTTCCTTCCCCATCTTGCCTGAAGCTGCATTGCTCAAATCTTTTCTTCTCTCTGCCTTTCATTCCACTTTCCTTATCTCTCTTCAGCTCCCAATCACTCTTTTTGCTAACTATATTCAAAATAAATGCCTCATGGTTTAATACTTTGTTGAAATAAAATTCCCATGGTGACTAAAAAGTTGTACCAGAAGAACACTTCATACAAACTAAAATTTTGTATGAAACAAGCTTTTGGTAGGAATGGATGACTAAAAGACTTACATTTGATCTTCCAAATTGCCTTCTGTTAATAGTGTCAAAATCTATATTTGTTCTTCAAAGGTAGCAACAGTAGGCAAAACAAAAACAAACAAAAAACTATATTTGTTAGTCCTTTTCTTGGTTCCTTAATAGGCCTGTCTCATCCAGATAGCAATAGCGATGACGACTTTCCTATTATTAAACTCTTGCACTGTGGCAGGCACTCTGTGAAAGCCTTACCTCATTTATGTGAGAACTTATGAGGTAGTTCCATTCTACCTACAAGGAAACTGAGGCTTGTAGAGATTACACAACTTGCTGCAGATGGTGAACCTTGGATCCGAAATCAAAGCAAAGCCTGTGTTGATAGACAAACATAATAGAGAGTGGGCAATGAAATAATTCCCAATGAACAGAAGAAAAGCCTGGTCAAAGACTGAGTTATTTTAAACCATGTTTCAATGTGTCCAAGAACTACCCCCTACCCACCTAGAATTTCTATTTTCCATAAAGCATGTCATTACTGGTGTAATGTATTTAACACCACTGAAACCATTCCTATAACCTATAAAGTCTTTGGCAGTAAAAGTATCATTTCCACATATCTTGAGTCCAGTCATGGAAATAAGTGGTACCAAGCTCAGTGAAGAGATTTTCTTTATGTACTTACTATTACTATATTTAAAACGTGATACTAAATCGTATTCCTTGGGTGGACATCTATTTATTTTACATTATTTAGTTATATCTTGGCTTAGAGATAGAGGGTTAAATAACATATTTGCCGGTTATTTATAGGTTTGACTGCCTATAAAAGAAACTCCAAATAACTGTGACTGAAAGACAGAAGTTTATCCCTTTCTCATTTAAAAAAGTCTGATGAAGGAAGCTCAGAGCTGTTATGGTTTCAGAGTTATCTGGCAACTTAGCCACTTCTAAATTTTCATTTTACCTTTCCCATAATGGAGTTCTCATTCTCCTCATCTGAGGTGGTGTATTAGACCGTAAACCTAGGGTGTAACAAATTACCACAAACTTGCTGATTTAAACCAACAGAAATGTATGCTCTCACAGTTCTGGAGGCCAGAGGTTCTATAGTGAGTTTCACTGGGCCCAAACCAAGAAGGCTGTGTTCCTTCCAGAGGCTCTTAGGGAGAATCCATTTCTTGCCTCTTTCAGCTTCTGGTGCTGTGGGCATTCCTTGTGGCGTGGCCACATTGCTCCAATCTCTGCTTCTGTGATTGCATTGCTGTCTCCTCTTCTGCTGTTTCAAGACTCCCTCTGCTTTCCTCCTATAAGGATACATATCATCACATTTAGGACCCATCTGGATGATCCAATACAATCTTCCTTTCTCGGGATCTTTAACCACACTGGCAAAATCCTTGTTTGCCACATCAAGTAACATTCACAAGTTCCAGGGACTGGAACCTGGACATTTTCTGGTGGCAGAGGAAGGGGCATGCATCAGGCCGCCACAATAGATATCTAGCCAATATATCCCTGTTCCAAGAAATAGGACAGATGAAGGGGAGAAAAAGGGGCACATCTATTTACTTTAGGACATATTTCAAAAACTGCACACATAATTTCCCCTCTCACATTCCATTAGCCTGAACTCAGTTACATGGTTACATTTAGCTGTGAGTTAGGCTGGGAATTAAAGTATTTAATTTATTTATCATGATCTCAGCTTTAGATAGAAGAAAAGCAGAACAGGTATAGGACAACTAGCAGTATCTGTTACCACCTGCCACCTTGGCCACCCAAATACCATATGCATCTTTCTTTTCGCAAGCCCCTGCTTCTCAAGGTATCCTCATGAGGGTGTTATTCAAAGCCCAGCAAGTCTTAGATCTCTGATTCATGGGGATTCATCTCTAACATGTACATATATGGCTCCTCATCATGGCCAGTCATCTGCCCTTACAGCAGCATACCTTGGGGCACCAAAAAACAGGAAACCACAACAGAAAAACCTCCCATTTGGACAAAAGATCATGGAAAGCAGAGCAATCTTGAAAGGGGCAGGAATAATGACAACTCTCTTCTTGTCAGTAGCATGAGTTCCTAGGTCATCCCAACTGAAAAACTGAAAATGCCTCCCAGTGGGCCTTCCTGGTTCACTATCGTGTATGGGTCATCCGAGGTGGGCATTGGAGAAGGTGTGCTTTTTGGACTGGCCGAGTTTTTTTTTTTTTTTTGAGACGGAGTCTTGCTGTGTCATCCAGGCTGGAGTGCAGTTGCATGATCTCGGCTGACTGCAACCTCCGCCTCCTGGGTTCAAGTGATTCTCCTGTCTCAGCCTCTCAAGAAGCTGGGATTACAGGTACCCACCACCACACCTGGTTAATTTTTGTATTTTTAGTAGAGACGGGGTTTCATCATGTTGGCCAGGCTGGTCTCAAACTCCAGACCTCAGGTGATCCATCCACCTCGGCCTCCCAAAGTGCTGAATTAGAGGCGTGAGCCACTGCACCCGGTCCTGCCCAGCTTTTGTAGGCTGCCTTTTGCTGGTCCTGCTTTGGTGGCCAAGGGAATGCCTTGGGGGTTGAATAGGTTTTTGTTTTCTTAGTAATATAATTTTGTCAAACACCTAGTGGTCTTCCAGTTTATTTGCTTCAGGTCAGTTCCATGTGTCAATAATCACAGATAAAAATCTTGTGGAGTCAGAGTTTTTAAGACTGATGATAGGGACTTTTACTTATTACCTCTGGGCTCTGCCTAGGCCCCTCCTCTCATGTTTCAGAGGGGCTCCCTTAAAGTCACTGAAACAAAGAGCTGGGGTGGGGACACAGCTCTCTTCATCTAATTTTTGCACTGAGCTGGCTGCCATTGTCTGGCAGAGAACTCTTAAATACAGGTGCTGGGAAAAGCTCAGAGGCACCGTTTCGTCTTCTGGTAAGTCTGACCCTTTGCAGCCTTTACTTAGAATTGCTTCAATCTGTAGTACAAGGCAACTAGCTTTGTCAATTCCATAAGGTCCAAATAACTGACCGTTTAGTGTGACAATTAGGAATACAGACTTTGGGGCCAGATTGCTTAGTACAAACCAGGTTTCTCACTTATTAGTTGTAAAATTGGCACGTTCCTCAGCCTATCTGGTCTTCATCTATAAAATGCAGTTAAAAACAGTATGCACTTCATTGTGTTTTTTGAGGAATAAGTTGCTTAAAATACATAAAGCACTAGAATGGTGACTGGCCCATAGTAAGCACCACATATGTGTAGTTAGCATTAACTTACTAATGTAATATTACTAGACTCTGTCAACTTGTATTGCAGGTTACAGTCTGATACTAGACTGATTAGCTCACACCTGAGTTTACTTCTTTTGTAGTCTCTGCTGAAGCACCAAGAAGCAACTAACATAAGACAACTTCTTGAATTGTTTCTACAATTTTCCCTGATGCTATGACCATAGCATGTGGTCTGCTTTCCAAGTGATCCTAGTAATAGTTTCATCATATGGTTTTCCACAGTAGAATGAGAGTTGCTAGGTTTTTGCCTTCTATTACCTGCACCTGCAGCACCAATCTTTCAGGTTTTGCCATGGCCAACACTCCGCTTTTAGGCATCAAATTCCGTATTCATTAGGGCTTATATTTGTTCATAACAGAGATCCAAAATACCTAAAGTATAAGCATGATGAATCTTCATTTCTTTTTGCATGAAAGTCTGGATTGAGGTAGTTTGGAGACGGTGTGATGATTCCATAGTCAGATCTGGGACACAGGTTGCCTCCAGTGTTCCATGTCGCCATCACTAGGAGGCTTCCCTACTTTCACAGTTCAGAATGAAGAGCCAGCCATCCCACTTACATCCAAGGAGTAGAAAGGAGAAAGGGAGAAAGGATATGTTCCGGAAGTTGATCACACATACCCACATAACCAAAACTTGTCACTGGGCCACACCTAGCAAGGGAGTTTGGGAAATGAGGTCTTGATTTAGTGTCAGTGTGCCAAACCAAAGCTCAGGCTTTCTGCAATCACTGAAGAGAATGAGAACAGGCCCTAGAGAGAGTACCAGAAGCCTCTGCCATTCACTGCAAATGGTTGTTTCTCTAGTTTAACACAATGTCTGTTGAAAGTAATGCACAGCATGTAACCTATTCAATATCTACTTCTTTCCCTACCACCAAAAAGTAAAACCAGTGGGTGCATATGTTTTCAGTAAAAAATAAAATGAAACCCAGTAGCTTAGATCAAATGAAAATTCTATCCTGGACTAGTTTTTATTTCTTAAAATACAAGAATTCCATTTCCTAGAATTGGAATTAACTTTCCTTTGTAGTTTTTAAAAATGAAGATCAAAATATTTGCATATGTGTAACATATGATTGACATAGGCTTGTTTTATCTATAAAGTACCTATTTTAACCTATCAAAACACCTATTTTAACCCTTACATGCTTCCTCAACTTGTATATGGCAAAGTTATATTTTTAGAGGGTATAATGACCAAAATGTTTGTTTGAGCTGAAACGAAAGACAGGATTTTCTATCATATTTGAACATAGAGAGGGAGTATGAAAGACTGCATATCTTTCATTAAAAAATATTTGTCAGTCTCTCTTCATGAAGCAAAGAGGGAATTAAATAAGCATAAACTCGATATTTGGGGTTTTATACCTGACACAAAGTTTCAACCTTAGAAAAAATTACCAGCGAGCTAAAGAAGAATAAGCAATATATACATGGTTTGTTTAATTCTTCATCAAACAACATTGCTGTATCTGTGCCTAAGTTTTATTTTACTTTTTTGGTTGGTTAGTTTTGTTTGGTTTTGTTTTGGGTGATGTTCAGCATTTTGTGTCCTGATGGGAATTTTAATGAATGTAAAACAAAAGCACTGGTACCAAGCTGAGCCCAGTGGATGAATCAGGTAGGCTTGTATATTCATAGCACTGATTACTGACAATTTTCTTGTGTCACTCTGTCCCAACTGTTGGTCAATCAGACATATTGCCAGAGAGGCATATTTTTTTAAAAACCCTGGCCACCTAAAAAATACATACACAGACACATGTTTCAGGGCTAGAGATTAAGCAAATTTTACAAGATCTCTAAGCAAGTCTGAGAACAAACGTTCTGCATAGTGCTCTGTTTCAGACGCAACAGAAGTGGAGGCAGGAACCAGCTGAAGAAAGCATCTGCCCTGGACAGCAACTCTGACACACATCACTCGAGATAAAGTGCTTCCCTGCAGACATGAGGAATTAACCCTATCCTCTTGCAGTCAGCCCAGTTCATAAATGGAGTAACAGCTAATGCATTCTTTTCCCCCTTCATCTTTAGAATACTAATGTGGGAACAGGTATTCAGAGTTTATTAGTGTAACACATTTTACAACAACAATAACAATTTCTGTAAGTTCCTACTGGTCAGAAAAGAAACATGATTCATTTGAAATGATTCCTATTTATTTATATTTTTATGTACTTATTCTTAACCTTGTCCAGAAAGGATTTGAGCTAACTTACTGAAACTTTTGGTTTAACTCACAACCCTTACCACTAGATAAGGAAGATTTAGTTACCCAAGTAATTCTTTCAAGGTGTCTGTTTTGCAGAGTCTAAAACTGGGATGCAATCTGCTCAGCCTGTACTTTAAAACCCTTCAAAGTCTCCTCATCCTCCATCAAGTCTTTTAATGTGTCATACACACTTTGTGCCTTCACCTCTTCCTGCTGCCAAAGTTTCATGTTTGCCCTGGCAATATATGACTTGGCCAGAAAAACATGTAATTAAATATAATATTTTCAAAATTATTTTATTGGAAAGAAAGTAGGTCCACATGAAAATGAAGTCTCAGTGATGACCAAATGGACTTTTTAAGTACTGGCAATTATGCGCTGTTTTGTTACTGTTTTTGTGTCTTTAAGTATTTTTGTCAATTTTTAGAACCATTAGTGCTTTTTAATTTGCAAATCATTTTTAGTTGGTTTTACACTGCCATATCACAAAAACTTGGAATAGCGTAAATGTCCACCAAATGGTGGTTTGCTCAAATCTAGTAGGTTATAATGGCATACATGGCATAATCTCATTTTACAAAAGAAAAAATTCAATAATATGTAAGAATATATGGAAACCAGATAAAAGATTATGGAAAATATTCAGCAAGATATTAATAGCAGTTACCTTTGAATGAGTGGGATTATGACGTTCTTTGTGTTTGCCATATTGTTTCAGATTTTTTTTCTTTTCTGCAGTAATAATTTCTTTGTTTTTTTTTCTAATAAGGAAAAGGTATTGGAAGAAGGTAATGATGAAAGTATCTACTTTTTAATGAGTGAAGGCTTACTGTGTGTAGGGCACTTTGGCGAATTTTAGTTCTAATTGCGTGTTTTAATCCTTAAAATTTCTGGGAGACAGATACCATGAATGGCATTTTATAAATGCAAAAGTAAAAACTTAGAGATGTTAAGTAATGTTCAAGGCCACATTGTGCCTGGATCTAGACATGGCATTTGAACACAGACTAGCCCAACTCCTAGGAAGTCGTTATGCTACTCCCTTGTTACTGGTAGATTGTTAAGCCATGTTTCTATTACAAACAGCACAAAGAAGAAATAAATGACTATGCAATTAATCCGACATTAAAAAAATAAAGTTAAAAAGGCACTTAACAAATCAAAATGCTTAAAGCCATGTGAGAGACTATTTCTTTCTTTTTTTTTTTTTTTTTGAGATGGAGTCTCACTCTTGTCACCCAGGCTGGAGTGCAGTGGTGCGATCTCGGCTCACTGCAACCTCCATCTCCTGGGTTCAAGCGATTCTCCTGCCTCAGCCTCCCGAGTAGCTGGGATTACAGGTGCCCACCACCACACTCAGCTAATTTTTATATTTTTAGTAGAGACTGGGATTCACCATGTTGGCCAGGCTGGTCTCGAACTCCTGACCTCAAGTGATCCACCCACCTCTGCCTCCCAAAGTGCTGGGATTACAGGCATGAGTCACCACACCCGGCAAGAGACTATTTCATAGTTTACCAAAATGAGAAAGCTTGGGTGGGAGGAAAGTGACTGAAGACACTCACTTTCAACAACAAAAAATTTTAAGCAAATTGGTACACTGATCAGCTTTCAAAAAGTTTTATAACCATGTTGCTTTAAAGACAGATTACCTAGGCTTCTCTGGCTCCCTTAGGCTCTTTCTTAGCACCCTGGCCAGTTTGGACAACTTAATCCTCTCCACACACAGCAAATGATTACTTGAATCTTGACCCTTGCTCATGCTGTGGGATTCTCCTCCTACCTTTTGGTAGTTCTTATAATTCTTCAAAATCCTGCCTCTTCTCTACTAATAGCCTTCCATTCCACCCTGAAGAGGACTTAAGCTCAATTTCACTGTTCTCCCACATTCAAAATGCTTAACTGCCAATATGACAGAGGCCCTGCCAGATCAGAGCAGACCTCAGCCTTACAGCAGCACCAGTGCACACAGGCTGAATATCTACTGCTGCAAAGAAGACACTGTGTCGATCTCTGCAACAGGTATTGAGAGAATACCTTGAGGACAGGGGCTAACAGATATTTAATTTATGTGACAGCACATGTTGGCTATGTTGGAGCTGAATTAGAACGGCAGACCAATGCTCATGCATATACACCTCTTTCTTTGTTCTAGAATGCTCAGGAGACTCCTTACCCATCGCAGATTATGAGGTGATGCACAAAAACAATAATCTGGCTGCGTGCCTGATTTTCTTTTTATTTACTTATTACTTTTATTTTTTTAACTTTTAGGTTCAAGAGTACATGTGCAGGTTTTATATATAGGTACATTGCACATCACAGGGATTTCGTGTACGGATTATTTTGTCACCCAGGTAATAAGCATAGTACCTGATAGGTAGTTTTTTGATTCTCACACTTCTTTAACCCTCCACCCTCAAGTAGGCCCCGGTGTTTGTTGTTCCCTTCTTTGTGTCCATACATACTCAAAGTTTAGCTCCCATTTATAACTGAGCAAATGTGGTATTTGGTGTTCTGTCCCTGTGTTAGTTTGCTGAGGATAAAGGCCTCCGGCTTCATCTATGTTGCTGCTAAGGATGTGATCTCATTCTTTTTTATGCACATGCGTGATTTTCTTGGGGCTCCAAATCTCCACAGGGAAGAGCATGGGACCTGCTGGCCATTCATGTTTGGTAGATGCTAGCATACCCGATGCAGGGGGTGGGGGTGGAGCAGGAGCCAGATTCACTAAAAAACCATGGGCCTTTACCAGAAAAATCACCGCAAGAATGTCATGTCTCGCATGCTGGGCCTGTCACCTCTGCTTGGCATATGCATAAAAGGAAACAGTAGTTTCAAGTACCAGTAAGGTGAGCTTCACCAATTCCTCACTCAGTACTCTCCAACAAGTCTGGAATATCTGTGCCCCAAATGGGAGAAGACTATTTAAAAAATAAAATTAGTGTATCACCAGAGGTCCAGGCATTTCTCTGTAGGACCCTCCCTTTGAAGAGGCATTGATGTGAGAAAGGTAGAGATGTCCTCCTGTCTGGGGAGAGACAGTCACCAAAACTTAAAGATCAATATATGAATGCTCTAGGAGAGTGTGGATGTCCCATTTTCCAGAAGTTACACAAGACAACACATCTCCATCAGAGGGATGCTGCATTTTACTTCTGTGGCTATTATAACAAATTACCACTAACTTGGTGGCTTAAAACAACACTAAAACAGGCTCTAGGGCAATATCTGTTACCTGGACTTTCCCAGCTCCTAGAGGCTGCCCACATCCCCTAGACCGTGGCCCCATCTAAAGCCAGCAAATATGCATCAAGTCCTTCCATTGCTTCACTCTGATGTCCTCTTTTGCTTTCCTCTTCCATTTAAGGACCTTATAATGACATTAGGCCACTGGGATAAGTTAGAATACTCTCCGTGTTTTAAGATTAGCTGATGAGCCACCTTAATCTGATCTGCACACTAAATTCCTCTTTGCCATGCAACATAATAGTCACGAGTTTTAGGAATTTGATTTGATAGTGGACATATTTTTTGGAGGGAGGAGGCACATTATTCTGCCTACTACAGATGACTTAGCAGAGTACAGTGTATGCAAAAGGCAAGAACAGTAATGACATGGAAAAATGAATGACTGTCTGGACAGGGCCTGGCTGTGGCACAAGGGCAGAGAGACATCTTGGAGGACCATCAGCTGCAAATGGATGGTGAGGGCAGGAACCAGAAAGAGAGGTTATAAAGCAGAGGACAAGTGATCTGTGGCTATACATGAGCGGCTCATATAAAACCACACCCCACCCTCTACAGGATTCCCAGAGTTAAGAAAGGATAGACACACGCCTCTTAGCATTTGGCAATGAATTCAATGGATCTGTGGACAAATTGGAAATTAATCTTACCAAGAACATAAATATTGGTGTCTTCTAGACTACTTTCTGGTTCCACATATACAACCCTCTAAGTTCTCTATTATTCATGAAAGTAGGGGCTTGGAGACTTGACATGTAGAATTACTAAAAGGACATAAAGGCTGTCCTTGCTGGGAGATAAATCATAGACATTACTCTTTAATAAACATCTCCGGGGTTGAATAACATACGGTTTAAAGCTGCTAATCAGTAATGATGTGCTAAATGAATGAATGAGGAAATCTCAGGTGGCAGAGTAGACACATTGTTCTTGCATGAATTTTAAAAAAATGATAAAATTACATTTTTATAAAGACCAAAATACATTTCATTCATTGGTTTAAACTAATCTTTTTTGGCAAACCTACCTTTTAAAATTCTATTTATCTTAAGAGTGCATTTCAAGTGCACCCACACATACATACTGACGAGCTAGTGGGTGTTTATTGTTAGGTTCCAGGGTATATGTGCAGGATGTGCAGATTTGTTACATAGTAAACATGTGCCATGGTGATTTGCTGCACCTATCAATCGATTGCCTAGGTATCAAGCCCAGCATGCATTAGCTGTTTTTCCTGATCCTCTCCCTTCCCTAACCCTGCCCCCACCCCCAGCAAGCCCCAGTGTGTGTTGTTCCCTTCCCTGTGTCCATGTGTTTTCATTGTTCAGCTCCCACTTATAAGTGAGAACATTCAGTGTTTGGTTTTCTGTTCCTGTGTTAGTTTGCTGAGGCTAATGGTTTCCAGCTCCATCCATGTCCCTGCAAAGGACATGATCTCATTCCTTTTTATGGCTGTGTAGTATTCCATGGTGTATATGTACCACATTTTCTTTATCTATTCTTTCATTGATGGGCATTTGGGTTGATTCCATGTCTTTGCTATTGTGAATAGTGCTGCAATGAACATATGTGTGCATGTATCTTTGTAATTGAATGATTTATATGCCTTTGGGTATATACCCAGTAATGGGATTGCTGGGTCAAATGGTAGTTCTGGTTCTAGATCTTTGAGGAATCGTCACGTCTTCCATAATGATTGAACTAATTTATATTCAAGATGGGGATTTTTGTAAGTCGGAATTTGTATTAGCTGCTTAATCTATAAAACCAATTGGAAAAGATCAGTTATAATACACACAAAAATTAAAATAATGGTGGATTCTATAGCTTTATGTAAGTATATACATTCAGTGTAGTTGTGGATATTAAATAAAAGAACTGCATGATTATTACATCTGCCACGTGATGTTAAACCTTAAAGTAGTTTCTCAAAAAAAATTCACTTAGTTGAACAGTAAAGATTAGACTATAGATCTGGGTGGAAGACATTTTTGATCATCTTATGAATGACAAGAAGAGACAATTCATTTTGCTCTAGAGACTGAACTATCTAATAACCTTTAGTGTGGCACTATTTTTCCCTCTAATTCAATCCTTGCCTTTGCAGCTCCTCACTGCTAATCTTAGTCTACATGAATTGGTAGAGCCGTTATAACAGTACAGTGAGGTGAATAAATACAGGCATACCTTAGAGATATTGCAGGTTCAGTTCTAGGCCCACTCCAATAAAGTGAATATCACAATAAAGTCACATGAATTGTTTTGGTTTCCCACTGCATATAAAAGTTATGTTTATACCATACTGTAGTCTATTAAGTGTGCAATAGCATTATATCTAAAAAAGTACATAGCTTAATTTAAAAATAACTTACTGATTAATATCTGAGCCTTTAGCAAGTTGTAATGTTTGTTGGTAGAGGTTCTTGCTTCAATGTTGATGGCTTCTAACTGATCAGGATAGTGGTTGCTGAAGGTTGAGGTGGCTGTGAGGATTTTAAAATATATGACAACAATGATATTTGTCACGTTGATTGACTCTTCCATTTATGAAAAATTTCTCTGTAGCATGCAATTCTGTTTGATAGCATTTTACCCACAGTAGAACTTGTTTCAAAATTAGAGTCAATCCTCTCAAACCCTGCCACTGCTTTATCAATTGAGTTTATGTAATATTATAAATCTTTTGTTGCCATTTCAAAAATGTTCACAGCATCTTCACCAGGAGTAAATTCCATCTCAGAAAATCACTGTCTTTGCTCATCCTTAAGAAGCAACTCCTCATCCATTCAAGTTTTATTACAAGGTTGCAGCAATTCAGTCACATTTTCAGGCTCCACTTCTAATTCTAGTTCTCTTGTTATTTTCGTGACATCTGCAGTTCCTTCCTCTACGGAAGTCTTGAACCCCTTCAAGTCATCCATTAGGGTCGGAATCAACTTCTTCTAAATTCCTGTTAATGTTGACATTTTGACCTCTTACCATGAATCATGAATGTTCTTAATGGCATATAGAATGGTGAGCCCTTTCCAAAAGGTTTTTGATTTACTTTGTTCAGATCCATGAAAGGATTTACTGTCTGTGGCAGCTATAACCTTACAAAATGTATTTCATAAATTATGAGACCTGAAAGTTGAAATGACTCATTGATACATGGACTGCAGAATGCATGTTGAATTAACAGGCACGAAAACAACATTAATATCCTTGTAAATCTCCATCAAGAGCTCTTAGGTGACCAGGTGCATTGTCAATGAGCAATAGTATTTTGAAAGGAATCTTTGAGCAGTGGGTCTCAACTAGTGGGCTTAAAATAATCAGTAAACTATGCTGTAAACAAATGTGTTGCCATCCAGTTTTAATTTTCCATTTCTAGAGTACAGCAAGAATAGATTTGGTGTAATTCTTCAGAACTTCAGGATTTTCAGAATGATACATAAGCACTGGATCAACTTAAAGTCACTAGCTGCCCTTAGCCCTTATCAAGAGAGTCAGCCTGTTCTTTGAAGCTTTGAAGCCAGGCATTAACTTTTCCTTTCTAGCTGTAAAAGGCCTAGATGGCCTCTTCTTCCAACATAAGGCTGTTTCATCTATATGAGAAACCTATTGTTTAGTGTAGCCACCTTCATCAATGATCTTGGCTGAATCTTCTTGATAACTTACTGCAGCTTCTACATCAATACATACTGCTTCACTTTGCACTTTTACTTATGGAGAAGGCTTCTTTTCTTAAACCTCATAAACTAGCTTCTGCTAGCTTCAAACTTTTCTTCTGCAGCTTCCTCACCTCTCTCAACCTTTATAGAATTGAAGAGATTTAGAGTCTTGCTTTGGATTAGGCTTTGACTTAAGAGAATGTTGTGGCTGGTTTGATCTTCTATCCAGAGCACTGTAACTTGCTCCCTATTAGTAATTAGATTATTTCACCTTCTTATTATTATTTCTTATTTCTTATGTGTTCACTAGAGTAGCACTTTTAATTTTCTTTAAGAACTTTTCCTTTGCAGTCACAAGTTGGTTGTTTGCTGCAGGAGGCCTAGTTTTTGGCATATCTTGGCATTTGACATGCCTTCCTTACTACGCTTGATCATTTCTTACTTTTGATTTAAAGTGAGAGATGTGTAACTCTTCCTCTTATTTGAACACTTATCAACCATTGAAGGGTACTAATTGGCCTAATTTCAATATTGTTGTGTCTTAGGGAAGAGGGAGGCCAAAGGAGAGGGAGAGAGGTGAGGGAATGGCCAATGGGTGAAGAAGTCAGAACACACACATTTATCAATAGAATTTGTTAACTTATATAGTGTGGTTTGTGGCACCCCCAAAATGATAACAATATGGCATCAAAAATCACTGCTCACAGATCACCACAGTATATGTAATAATAATGAAAAAGTTTGAAACATTGTGAGAATTACCAAAATGTGAAACAGAGACACAAAATGGGCATATGCTGTTGGAAAAATGGTGCTGATAGACTTGATAGATGCAGGGTTGCCACAACCCTTCCATTTATAAAAAATGTAATATCTGCAAAGTGCAATAAAGTGAAGCACAATGAATGAAGTGAGGTATGCCTGGACTACTATTCTATTTTTAGACAGATAAGTGTCCACTTTTTCTGACATATTATACAGGATTAACATAATAGGCAGCAAACCTGTAAATAGAAATTTGCAGAATTTGACTCGTGGATCCAAAAATTATTTTTTAAAGTAATATCTTTCTTGACTAATACAGAATACTTATTTCTTTTGTTCCTCATATACGCTTAGAGCTCAAGGAATAAAACTCCTGATTTAGGTTACCTTACACAAAACAAAAGGCATTCACGTTACAGCTCATGATCACAAAGTTAAATGTCTGACTTTAAATTAGCTTTGCTCTACCAACTATCTGATTTTACAAGTAGCTCCTTGAAAGCCCAAAACTGGACTAGGATTTGCCCGTGATCAAAATCATGAGACATCACAAACAACATGATTGCTTCTTCTTATAATGAAACACTAAAGTTAAGATTTGGAAGAAGTTACAGAAATATTTTTGTGCGGCTAAATCTTTCTTTCCAGTTTTAAAAGAACTTAGTCTCTTAGTCCAGTTTGTATTGCTATAACAGATACCTGAGACTGGAATTCATCAAGAAAAAATGTTTTATTTGGTTCACAATTCTGGTGGCTGAAAAGTCCAAAATTGGGCAGCTGCATCTGGTAAGGGCCTCATGCTGCTTCCACTCATGGCAGAAAGCAGAATGGGAGCAGTTGTGTGGAAAGGGATCCCACGGTAAGAAAAGGAAGCAAAAGAAAGCAACTGAGACTGCCAGACACTTTTTAATCACCCACTTTCATGAGAGCAAGAATTCACCCCATGCGAGACCATTAATGTATACACAAGGGATCCACCCCCATGACCTAAACACCTTCACTAGGCCCCACTTTCCAACACTGCCACATTGGGATTCCCATTTCAACATGAGTTTGGGTGGGGACAAACCATATCCAAACCATAGCACCCAGTTTTCTACATTTAAATTTAAATATATTGCCTTAATTCAACCCAAACCAACAAAATTGCCTACTAATCAGCTGTGAGGAATCTTCTTCAAAAAAAAATGCAAATTAACATATCAAGTATTTCTATATAAAATGGACAATGTTTAAAATAATTAGTGGTCCTAAGAATTTTGGATATTTTTTTAATTCACATATTACCTATTATTTTCATGTTAAAGATATATTTATTTGTTTTTTTTTTTTTTTTTTTTTTTTTTTTGGAGACGGAGTTTCACTCTCGTTGCCCAGGCTGGAGTGCAATGGTGCGATCTCGGCTCACCACAACCTCCGCCTCCCAGGTTCAAGCAATTCTCCTACCTCAGCCTCCTGAGTAGCTGGGATTACAGGCATACACCACCACGCCCAGCTAATTTTGTATTTTTAGTAGAGATGGGGTTTCTCCATGTTGAGGCTGGTCTCGAACTCCTGACCTCAGGTGATCTGCCCACCTCGGCCTCCCAAAGTGCTGGGATTACAGGCGTGAGCCACCGTGCCCAGCCATATATTTATTTGTTAAACAGATTTGTTTGGGGTCCACTTGCGGGACAATTTAGGACTATAAAGTAAAGAAGTCACAGTTCCTAACTTTTTATGTGTCAGGAGGTGAGGGTAACAAGATGTGGTACTTAAAGAAAGGCAGACTAAGGAGGTAGATGGAGATCATACAGCAGATGCAATGGGGGTTGACCATGGATGTGCAGCTGACCATAAACCTCCAAGTCACAGGCAGGCAAAACTGTGCCACCAGTGGTAGGGCAGAGGCCTCAGAGGAAAGTGTGGGAGTCAGAAAAGCGTGACAGAGGTGGGGTCAGTGATGACTCAGAGGCACAATATCATCTGGATCAAGAGCAAGAGTTTTAGACTCAAGCAGACCCAATTGGTTTGAAATGTCTGCCAAGTCAGGTTATCTCTCTAAGCTTTAGTGTCCTATCTTTTTTTTTTTTTTTTAAAAAGGACATTGATAGGAATTCCTCATAGATTTATTGCAAAGAAAAATGATATAATGCATGTACAGCACTTGGCACAAGGCCTGGCACTGAGCAAATCTTCAAAGACAATTGGCTGCTTTTAAAAAACTATTTTAGTATAGAAAGAGGAGGAGGGAAAAAAAGGCAGAGGAGGAAGTGAAGGAAGGAGAGCAGAGGAGCGGAGGAATGGGAGGAGATCCAGGAAGGCTGTTGGTTGTCGTCCAGGAGATATGCCCCTGAATAGCTCAGGGTTCCTGAGCAAAGCTCAGCACATTAGCAAAGAGTAAACCGGGGAGTAAACAGAATGTGCCAAGCCTCATACAGAGACTTGAGCTGATACTGAGAGGGAAAGCAAGGACAACACATCCATTTAAAGCTCTGAAATAAATCATGCTGCAAAATGCCTGGGAAACCTCCAATACACCCTGGAGCCTGAAGCACAAGTTAGGCAGCCATCAAGGGGAATTCAGATAATAACTCATGAACCCTGGGGTACTTCCCAGAGCACCATACCCTTCATCCAGGGGAGGGACAATCCGGGGAACTGTGGGATATTGTCCTCAGTTTGTTCTGGGAATCTGAATGAGACCCACTTTGCAGAGGAGTAATCACTGAGAAAAGGGAAGTAACAGCTCTGGGAAAATTAGATAACATCTTGAGGAGGTCCAATAGAATGGGAAAAAGACAAACACATAAACAAAAACTGTATGCAGTGGTGCAAGATATAAGAGAAATATATACCAGATATATAGGGAGCCTAGAGAGGACCATGATAAGTTCTGCTTGGGCGGAGACAGGATAGGCTTGGGAGACTCTCCAACTCTGAAGCCAGACTTTAGAGCATAAGTTCACCAGGATGAGAGTAGAAGGCAGGTACATTCTACGTCTGTTTTGTGAAGTGTCCTTATGTGCCATATGTATTGCTAAATCAGTTTTTAAAAATATCTTGTTCACTGTGTAATGGGTCACAATAATTACATGATCTTACATATAATATATTTATGCAAGTATCAACTTACTGTATACGGAATACTCCCATGTCTTCTTTAATTCTTATGATAGGACAGGAAGATAGGTCTGGTTGTCCCTAATTTCGCAAAATGAGGACAGAGTCTCAGAGGATGTTGAGCTGCATGCCCAGCGTTGCTGCAGTTTGACTGAGACCAGCTGCCTTGGTATTCATTCATATTCAGCAAACATGCACTGAGTCCCTACTCTACTGCCAGGCGCTCTGCTAGATGCTGGGAATACAAAGACAATGCTCAAATGAATTCACAGAAAGGAGGGGGAAACAAATATATAAACAGAATTAAAATACAATGAAGTAAAACCTATTATATGGATGTGCATGTGATTGCTACTGAGAATATGCACAGATGAGCATAGGAAGAGCTACACAGAACAGGTGCCACTGAACGACATCTAGAAGGATGAGTAGGTGTTTAGGGGGTAGAAAAGAGAAAGGCTGTTCCAGGCATGAACACTGCACGTGCAAAGCCGGAGAAACACAAGAGAGCATTACGCGGGGCCAAACTGTGAGAAGTTCAGGAAGGATTGTCCTGGGTTGCTGATGAAAGACCTAGCAGCCAGATCAAAAACAGTCTTTGTGGCTGTGCTCTGGAGTTTGAATTTTCATGCTGTAAGTGGCTGGGATCCACTGGAGGATTTTAATTGTGTGAGTGACAAGATCAGATTTGTTATTCAGAAAGCACACTCTGGCACAGTTCAGTGGGTGGAATGGAAAGTGGTTACCCTGGAGACAGGCAGACCCATTAGGAAGCTATGACAATAATCCAGGAGAGAGAAAATGAGGATAGTGGTTGGAAGAACGGGCAGATTCAATGACTTTCTGGAAGTAGAACTGATGGTCAGGAGAGATTCATTGGGTATAAATGCTGAACAAGAGGAAGAATCAACAGCGATGGCAGGTTTCTGGCTGGGATTTCTAGGTGGATAAGTAAATCATTAACCAAGATGTAGAATACCAAAGAGTTAGCAGGTTGGAGTAGAATATTATAAATACATATGGGAGAAGTTGAATTTTAGGTGTCTCTGGAACCTCTAGGTGAGGATATTATGCACAGTTAATATATTTAGAATTCAGAAGAAAGATTGACTAAAGGTATAGATTTAAGAGTAATCATCAAATAGTTTGTTGTTGAGGTTTTGGCAATCTCCAAAACTACAGGATCTGGGTACCACTGCTTCTACTCAATTCATTTGAACCATCTCTGAAGTAAGTACTAGCTCAAGCTTTGTTCCAAAGTACAAATTAGCATAGCAGCTCAGTAAACAATGTCTCTGAGCTTCTGGAAAGAAAGATGTTCAGTCACCATAAGGCCCAGAATTAATGAAAAGTCAAAGAAATAATAGCTCTATTCTCTAGTTGCTTTTGAACCTCAAATCACTCTTTGGCAACAAGGTAAGAATTTACAGAAACTGCTGAAAAGACCTTCTGGTAAATAGGACAGCAAAAAGAGTTTGTTTTTAATATTTGTTCTAAACCATGTATGTGGTCATGTTTTGAAACTGCTAGTTCACATACTTGACCTGAATTCCTTTCCTAACTGGAAAGTCAATTTTGATTTTGATTATAGGATATAATTCCTTGACAAAAAATCTTTTTTTTTAAAAAATTTGGCCCTTCTCCTTATGCTTTTTTTTTTTAAAAAAAGATCAAATTGCAGGAATCAGATGATATATGCTTATATAATGAATGTGGTTTGCCTATATTTTAATCAGAAGACATTTGTTAGAGGAAAGATATTTTTGCTTACTCATGGACAAACATCAACAACACAAATTTAAAAACACATACGTGGAAATGATTTTTTTCTTTCAGATTAAGTGGAGATGACCATGATGTTACAGCAGAGCATTGCCAGGGCATCACTGTCATTAATGCTCGGCAAAAACACTAAAGATCGATTATTTATCTCCAAATTGTGATATATAGGAAACAATCACTATCATTATATTTTCTCTTCCCATTCTTATGCATCCTAATTTGAGTCATTGTGGAAAGAGTAGGGGTCCCATTTGCCATGGCATATGCTTGCGACATGTGGGTCCCCTACTCTTTCCACAGTGACTCAAATTAGGTAAGTTTGATGTTCATGCCATGTTCACTAGCATGAATATCAAACTTACCGGTAGTATGTAAGAGGAAGGAAGATTATAACAGGTGCTTTACATATTTTATCTTCTCACATAGCTTTCACAATAATTCTATTCTGGGGATTCAATGAGTTAATACATTTAAAACTATTAAAACAGTAATAGTAAACTATTAAAGCAGTAACTATCACATGATAAACATTCCATAAATATTTAGTAGTATCATTACTAATAAGATATGTCTGGTTTTTTTTTCCTGAGGAATGCCATATTCAGGGATACTGAGTGTTTACCCAAAGTGATATAGCTAGTAGGGGATGGGCCCAGGTTTGCAACCTAACTTTGCTTGCCTCAAGAGCTTATGCTGTTTTCATTATTCTATGCTGCCACTTAGTGACTAGTAAGTTTCGTCCCTACTGAAAGCACACTGTATATTATCAGGGAGAGACAACAAAAACCCAACCCATTACCCTTGATAGCTGACCCCAGTAATCTTTCAATTGACCTATGTATTTGTTTTTTTATTTGGAAAATAAAGATGCCATTACCTACTCTCCTTTGCTAATATGCTATTCAAATACTCAGTATAGTATATTATCATTTCTATATTATAGATTTCATCTATTATCTCTTTTGATCTTCAAAATAGAACAAATGTGACCTAATGGAAAGCACATTGAATTTCTATTTCCACTAACGTGAAAACATTGCTTAAGTTAATGAAATTCTTTGAGTCTCAGTTTAGTTACCTATAAAACTAGAGGGTAAAACTAGGTGTTCCCTCTGGCTCTTTTACTTGCTTTTTGTGTGAAAAAAAATTTAAAATATATTTATTTATTAATTTGTTAAAATATTAATTAACCTATTACATGTAGCTGTAAGTAATGCATTCTTTCAATAATCTTAGAAAATATAAATAAAGTTGCATAGGGATTATTCTAAATTTTAAGTGTGATAGCGGCCAAGAGAAAACAAATAATTTCTTCCAAGGACACCCAGAAAATAAATGATGAAATTCTAGGTCCCAGATCTTTAACTCCTAACACAAGTTTCTTTTCATTTTACCAAACTACACATTATTCTGATGGGCAAAGACACATTAATGATCTTGATGTGAATAATAATCTAACTAAGCAGATGATTGCTTTTGCCTTTAGGTAGATTGATAAACTTCAAAGCAATTAGCACCTATAATTGCTAAACTGAGAGCTAAGTGGCACTGGTGACCTGCCAAAAGAAAACAGTTGGCATAAGCTTTGTGAGTTACGCTTCATCAGTAAGCTTCATTTTAATCCAGTAAGGTCCACCCTGCCTGTCCCTGAATTGCCCTCTCGAGGCAAGTAACAAGTGTCACATTTCTTTTGAAATGGCTGGCACTGCTATGGTATCAGTTATCACACAATATTCCAAAAAGCAATTGTGATCTCGAGCTGTAAGGCACTGGCATCCACTTGGAAAAAATGAAGTTTAATGTTAAGCATCTGGCAGTTTCCATCATTGCTGGAAGTAACAAAAAGATCCAGAAGTCACCTGAGCTGTCTCTGAGTACTGTGAAAATGTCACTCGATATTTAAACTGCATGAGAAGTCACAAAACCTCAGGTTTCACAAAAGCAGAGCCTCAACTATCAAAGCTGTCAGGTCTTCAGAGATTGTCTAGTTTAATAATCTTATTTTATAATAAAGAAATTTGTCACCATTTGTGTGAGCAGAGGAAGAAGGACTCGGAGCGAGCATCTTCATTAGTTATTTTGTAGGGAACTATAGAAGTAAACAGATACTTGATAAACTGCAACCGCACTAGAGGCACCATGCATTTGCTAAATGCATGTTTATGTTTTTCCATAAAAATCCAAACTATTTAGGCTTTACTTCATATATAAGTATCCCAGCCTTTAAAAATGTTGGAAAGCAATAGAGGTAATATTAATAAAATGCAGCATCCCTGGCTTTCCTTTATTATTTTAGCCACATCCTGGTCAGATACAATTGTTCGCTGGCTCCTCTGATTCATCCTTCACACTGTCATCACTGACAATAACCTTCCAAAACAATTTTTCTTCCAAAAACAGTCCCAGCAAGGCAACCTGTGTTTTTCTCATAACGTTTTCTCCCCTGTCTTCATCCTGACAATCAATTTTCCCCAGTTGCTCTACAGCGCGATCACCAGTTTTGTTTTTGGTTTGGATAGTGACAAGAGTGCAAAAGCTTTTGGAGAAATTAATGAACTCTCTTTTGGACCTGTTTCAATAGGAGAACAATAATAATTTTAGAGAACAAAATGCTATAATTGTCAAAGTTATGCCATGGAAGCTTCTCTATGCCATGCGTATCCTCAGTTCCTAAGCCTTCTCTGTCCAGCCATACCTAATCATACCTGCATGCACCTTGTTCCCACAGTGATCCTCCATTCATAGCTCCAGTTGGGTGGAAAATGATGGGGAGCATCATAGCTAGCCCAGGGAGTCAGTCTTTCAGAACGAAGGAGAAGAAATTGCTGCTGATGTCAGTTCCTAAGAAGGACCTAAAGCTATTTGGTGTGGCAAGAAAAATATGATTTTCTTGAGTGACCTCTTGAATAAGTCTCATCACTCTCTAGGCCTAACATACATAACCAGAACATAAGTCCTTTTTCAGGCCCGAGACAAACTGACAAGATACCTGGCTCTTCCCCTTCCACTCTTCAGACAGCATGATATTATTTTTTGTGGCCTTTCTCTTTCGAGACTGTCCTCGATATTCAGTACATATAACCTGAACCCACTTGGACAAAAACATGGCTTAGAAGGCACTCAGAAGGTTGCTATCCTGAATCCAGGGTCTTTCAGGGAGAAAGTAGGCTGCAAAACTTAATAAACAAAGAGTCATTTGATGTAATTGAAGAGACAGAAGTTATATCAAGCCAGCACAGAAGAGAAAATATGAGCTTGCTGTTTCTTAGAAAGAGCATAAAACATTGGCAGCAAAAGTCTTGTCTCCTGGTTAATGAATTAATGAATAAAGGAAATAATCACAAATGGACCCTAGATCCAAGTGACCACATCATAATTCACTCATTTGTACATGATGGATAAATGACCTGTTTTATGATTGAGACATTCCCAAAAGTAACATTAAAGTACTGAACATTTATAAGGATTATTCATTCTATGCAAAGATAATGCATAGAACCAACCAACCAACCAACAGCAGTCTGAAATGTTTTCAGTAGGAAGAAAAAATTTGCAATGTAACAAATAAAAACATTTTAAAGGTGCTGACCTACAGCTATGAAGCAGATAACATTTTCTGAAGTTTTAACCTCCTTAGTTGGAGTTCTCAACGGTCATCCCTTACACAGCAATTCACATATTGATATACCAAAAAAGGAATACACAGGTTTGATGAAATCCCAAAATGATTAGTGGTTGAGACCTCTCCAAAACACAGTTTTTGCCATGGCAATCCTTCAAAAAAGTTACAATTTTGTAAGTGATAAGACCAGATATTAAAGGAATACACACATGTACACAATGTGAAAAGGGAAAATAGTACAACTAATCTAATTTTTAATCGAAACATTTTCAAAAATAATCTTGCTATTTCTAGATTGCCATTCTCTAGATAATAATGAGTTGAACAAATATGTACTGTAACATAAGCAGAGGTGAAACAGATCTTACTGGTAAAATTTTAACACATTGGAGAGGAACTCCTGCTTCAACAGCTGTAAAATCTGCTCTAAATAAAATAAAATAAATAGTTATTTCATGGTTACAGAAAGAAACCAATGCAGCCAGGACTTAAGGATTCAAGATCCTGAATCCTTATGGAATGAGCCAATATTCTAGAGAAGAGGGAGATACTTTGAGGTAAGCCCTATGAGCCTTTGAGGAATAGGCTGGTTTCTGGCACAGAACACAGAAGCAAAACAGAAAACAGTGGCATAGGGTTTGTAGTATTCTCCTTGCACTGCAGAGATAAAATAAAAGTTTTAATTGAGGAAATTAGAAAATATTTGTAACTGAAAGGCATTTGTGCAATGTAGAAAAAGTCGTGCTTAGAGGAGAATTGTTAAAGCCTTAAATACATGTACTAGAAGAGCAGGGAAGAGATAATAACCAATGATCTAAGCATCCAATTCAGCAATCTGGAAAAAAAGAACAAATTAAGCACAAATAGGAGGAAGAAAGGAAATAGCCTTTTAAAAAAAAAAAAAAAAAAAGAGCAGTACTTGAAAAAATAAAAAATATTCAACTGGGAAAGAGAAAAAGCCAAAAGTTGTTTTTTGAAAACATTAATATAATTTATAATTCCCCTGCAGTACTGATCAAGAAAATGGTAAGAAGAAAAATATTAGAAACGAGTTATTATTAATAATTTTTTTTTGAGATAGAGGCTCACTCTGTTGCCCAGGCTGGAGTGCAGTGGTACAATCTTGGTTCACTGCAACCTCCACCTCCCAAGCTCAAGCAATTCTCATGCCTCAGCCTCCTGAGTAGGGGTGATTAGAGGCGTATGCCATCACACCCAGCTAATTTTTTTATTTTTCAGTAGAGACAGGGTTTCTCCATGTTGGCCAAGCTGGTCTCAAACTCTTGGCCTCAAGTGATTGGCTTGCCTTGGCCTCCCAAAGTGCTGGGATTACAGGCCTGAGCTACCACGCCTGGACAGGACAAATTATTAATATCAGGAATAAAAAGAAAACAGTATTACACACATTAAAATATAGTAAGAGGTTATGAACAACTTTATATCAATTAATTTTATAATTAGATAAATTTCTTTTAAAAAACAACTTACCAAATTGATACAAAAAAATAGAAAATCTGAATGATGCCATTATCTGTGAAAGAGACTGAATTAAAAATTTAAAACCTTTCTTCAAAGAAAACTCTTGGCGGCCCAGGTGCTTCAAAAGAGAATCTATCTAAAAAATTTAAGAAGAAAGAATTTCAATTCTGCACAAACTACTTTAGAGTCTAGAAAAGGGGGAATATTTCTCAACTTATTAAGAAGCTATTATAATTTTGCCACCGACACCTGACAAAAACATAAAAAAGGGAAATTATATATCAGTCTCTCTTGTGAATACAGTCACAAACATTTGAATTAAAATAGTAGCAAATCGAACCCAACAATATGGAAAAGAGCTAACACATCCCCACAAAATTGAGTTTAAATCAAAATGCAAGTTGATTGCATTCTGAATCAGTGTAATTAACTACATTAACAGAATTAAGCATGCAACCACTGTAATAATGCAAAAACAGAAAAGGAACCATGTATTTATGATTGAAACAAAACAAAACAGGAACAATCTCCCTTATCAAAACAAAATATTTAAAAAAATTTAATGTAATAAAGAATATGTTCAAAGAAAACTTATAGTATAGTTGATAAAATATCAGAAAATTTTCTTCCAAAATATGGATATCTGAGGAGGTAAGGCTAGCCCCCTCACAATTTCCATCTAACATTGTCCTGGAAGTCCTGTCAATGCAATTAAGTGAAGAAAAATAAAATAGAATATACAACATTCCCTTTTGCTCTGTGGTTTTGCTTTCCAATGTTTCAGTTACCCATAGTTGACTGTTAGGTTGGTGCAAAATTGTGGTTTTTGCCATTACATTTAATGTCAAAATTATTTTTGCACCAACCTAATAGGTGAGTATAATACAATAAGATATTTTGAGAGAGAGAGAAAGCTCATTGACTTTTATTACAGTATACTGTTATAATTGTTCTATTTTATTATCAGCCAGTGTTGTTAATCACTTACTGTGCCTACTTTACAATTTAAACTCTAGCATAGGTATACAGATAGAGGAAAAAACATAGTATAAATAGGGATTGGTACTATCTGCAGTTTCAGGCTTCCCCAGAAGTCTAAGAATGTATTTTCCACAGATAAGGGGGCTCTATTTTAGAAGACATGAGAATGGACATAGAAAATCCAAAAGACAAATATTAGTCTATAAGTGAACTTATCAAAGTGAACGGATACTAAGTCAATGTACAAAAATATGTTGTACTTTTATAAAATACCAACAAATAATTAGAAAATAAAAGTTTAAATCAATGCAATGTTATTTACCATAATATTAAAATTTTAAATATCTAGGGTTGTATCTAACAATAGTATAAAAGAGGTGAAACCAAGAAACATAGTATACTGTGTTCATGAATTAGATAACTCGCTAGGGTAGAAGGATCATTTATCCACAAATTCATCTATATATTTCATGTACTCCTAATCAGAATCCCAACAGGTATTTTTATGGAGTTTCAGAAGCTGATTTAAATCAATGTCAAAATGTAAAAGGCTATTTCAGTTTCTAAAAAACCAATATATGGGTAAATTAACCATATCTAATTAGCAGAAACCTTGTAATGTAAAAAAAATCCAAAGCATTAACCATTTCAGCAACAGGAAGTCCCTGAATAGATATACAAGAGACAATTACTAGATTTTAATTCAGTTCATCTTGTTTGAAATGATGCATTACTGGGCAAAGAATTAAGTCTGTTCCACAGAAAGCATTTTAAAATTGAAAAGTGGTTTAAAAGGAAAAAGAAGTTAATCATAATGTCTCTGAACATCTGGCTTCACTCTTTAAGTCTTTTCTGAGGCACAGTTTTGATAGAACTAGCTCATTGAGACACAGCCTAAAAGTTGAAGCAAGTAAGCATTGAGAGATCATCAGGTAAAAAGCAAGTGAATATACGAAACATGCACAGAGACTCTATCTTAATCAGAGGACTGAAGCCACAGGAATGTATTCAGTATTTATAATAGAAGTCAGCTTTAGAATTCTATTTCACATCATTACCTACAGCTAATATGCCATGTTATTAAACTGTGTGTATGTTGAGGGGAGGGGAAGCTATTTCCAATCAAAAAATAGAAGAAAAACAACACCCTGGTATCCAGAAGCCATGAGTGGTTCAAGTTCATATGTACAAATAAATCAGCCCAAAAACTGATACTGTGCAATTAAAAAGGGAAAAACTAAAAGATGTCGTGCCATTATGAAGCAAAAGGACTAAGCTGCAAAATCATAGATCCAGCAGGCAGGACTGGCTACATAATTCAAGGGGCCCAGTGCAAAATAAAAATGCAGGACTTGTTCAAAAATTACTAAGAATTTTAATACTCAGCAACAGCAGAGCATTAAACCAGGAAAAGTGCCCTTCTAGCTGCTGGGCCATGAGAGACTACTCCATGAAGCTTGCCCTGTCTGAAGGCAAAGGCTGAATCACAAAAATCAGGCTTTTCTTTCAGGCTTGCCTATAGGAAAAATCACACCATCAGCAACGTTCTCTATGACCACAGAGGGCTTCAATATGATGTGCTTTCTATATGAGGTTAAACAGGAGATACTGAGTCTAAACACTGGGTCTAACTGGGCTTTTACTTCTGAAAATGATAATTTGCTAATGTGATTTTCAGAATACATTCCCATTTTCTGTTTCCAGTCTTGTGTTCCTTAGACTGCCCAGAAAGAAAGCATTGTGTGTGTGATGATTTTTTTTTTCATGCCCCAGTAAGCTTTCAAAGTAGGCCAATCAGAAATGACATGTGGGCACAAAAAAATCTAGCCTGCTTTAATTCCATCAATTAATAAAGAGAGTGAAACTGACTATTTAGAATATTTAATACAAGGAACAAAAGAATGCCATTACATGAAAAATATAAGAACTAGTTTCAACTGTGTGCTATTCCATCCTGCTTTATCTAACCACTATATCTGCATGGATTTCTTCCAGAAGATAAATCTTTCAATTAGATTTTTTGTTTTTTTGCGAGTTGCAGCCCATGTCCTGTCAGGTTGAGTATCAAAAATTGCAGGTGAAGTTTTCCTCTCTTGATTCTGCTAAACTGTAAAAGGTCTTGCAAAGCCAGAAATCTTAGATGTTTTATTCATTCTAGGCACTGAAAGATGGTGAATTTTTTTTCCTGCCAAACAAAAAATACTCATTTCCTGTCATGTTCCCCTAAAGACAAGGCATAAATCTTTGTTTTATCTAAAAAACATCAAATGAAGATTTAGATGTCATATTTCAGGGAATAGTTTTCTATTTCTTACCATTTAAGGAACATTTTTCCAAAATCAATTCCTACTCCTATTTAGATTTCTTGGAAGGGAAGAAGAAAAATTGAATATGAGAAAAAATGTGACTGGTAATAAACAGTAAGAAAGGGATATTTATACTTTGTCTTTGGCAGTCCATCCTGTGAAATAATAATGAAGCCTGAGGAATGATGATAACGATCTCTTGCTTTTATATGCTAGGGAACCACCATCTCAGATGGTAGAAACCACCACGGAAGAGCAAATGCTACAGGCAGAAGCAAAGCAACCTAATGAATAATTTAGACATAGTATGTTACAGGAGGGACTTTATCAAAATATGTGCAAAGGGAAGAGTTATTGCTATGAAATATAAAATCAATACTTGTCGTAGTTGAGTTTTTAGGGAAAGTATAAAGAGGCATCAGCAAACTCCTTATATTTTGGATTATTCTACATCTTATTACCATGTTTTGCTGTACTTTGAAATATTTTTAACATTAGATATTTGGTTTGCTGCATTCCTATGCACTTTTCTTCTATGCCATTTGATAAGGTCAGAAAATAAAAGCCCTTCTCCCCGTGTTTGAAGATCTTCTGCCATGTTTTGAGAGTCGTTTTTTGTTAACTCTTCTTTTATCTGCTTCTCTTGCCTTGTGTTGTTATTTTTGGGTCTCTCACCTGGAATATTTTAATGGCCTTGATTGCACTGGCTCCAGTCTTTTCCCCTTCTAATTTGTCACTCAGAAAACATCTAGGTCCTTTTTCTGAAATGCAAATCTCATCATGTCATATTACAGGATACAATCTTGGCTCCCATGTAGATTCAGAGGAAGCGAGCAGAGTCCAAGGGGCCAAGGGAGAGAAAGGAAGCCTTGACCAACTCAATGTACATTGAATTCCCTGCCCCAGCCTCGGCCTACCAAAAGTCAACCCAGTGCTCATCAATGCTCAAAGTTCAGTTTGATTATCTTGTCTTAGATTGAGAGGCTTGTGGCTATAGTCTCTAAACTCTAGAGATTGCTCAGTGTTTCTGCATCATACCTAGCTCTTCACCATCTCTGTTCTATTCCAGTGGAACACACTTCTCAGGAAAAAATATTTTAAGATAAGCCAAAGACACAGGTGGAGTTTTTAAAATACCAGTTAAAACTGGGTGGTTCTCAGGCAAAAGCAATAAAGCAGGCTGCTTGGATTAGCTCAAAATCTAGGTTCAAAGCTAGGGGCTTCTAGATAGAAGTTCAAAGGTTAACATATGGTCCAGTCAAGTGCAGCAAGTTCCGGATTTCATTGGAATTTGGAGTCAAAGTCCACACTAATTGATTGTGTGTTTGACTGAAATGTTCCTGCTGCATATACCACAGCAGGTTCCTCTTTTTGCATTTGGGGATTCAGAATGCAGACAAATCTCATTTTATCAACATTCACTACAAAGACTATCCATACCACATTAGCTCAGAGTTGGAATTTGGATTGTGTTCCTTAATGACATCAAATGAATCCAGTGAGTAACAAAGAGTCCAATGCAAAATGAGAGATCACATTACACTCAACTAAACTTCATAGATTTTTTTTTTTTCAAATCACATATTTACTATAGTATCAAATTAAGGCTGAGCAGGATATTGAATCTCTGAAAGATCTTAACAAATTGGATAAAAATCACTTTATTTGCAGTATAAAGCCAAATATTTTCTATTATTGTAAGATTTCTTTACTAAATTCCCATAATAAAGATGTATATGGTGTGTTCTAAATGAACTGAGCTGCATCAGTCCTCAATGCATCACTGTTGCCTTGCAGCCTTAAAAGATTTGCATATTCCAGGAGGGATTTCATTTAAGAACTAGTCTTTTAACAATTATGTATTTCTTAATATTTTAACAACTTTACAGACCTCTTGAGGTGCAATGTTATACCAAAGCCTCTTTAAACATCACAAAAATGAATATAAAAACCCAGAATTATTCCCGGAACCAGATTAATCCTTCATAGGAAGAACTTCAATCATATGATCACAAAAAACATCTTTTTCTCAGTATCGTGTTAGGATTTCTGTTAAACCAATGACTTCTTTTGTTTACTTTCTTTCAATGAAAGAAATTTTAAAATGAAAAAGAAAAACAGAAAAAAATAAACCTGCAGTCCTTGGTAGCAGTTGAATAGCTGACAAAAAGAAGACTTCATAACCACAGAGATACTCGTTTTGACATGAAAATACTCCACCAGAAAGTGAACTCTGATCCAATACATGAACAGATACTGTTTTCCCTGATGCTTCTTGGCGAGACTTCACAAGGAACTTGTTTTCATCATTTCAGTCACTTAAAAATGAACAAAAAGCTAATGCAATTGAGGCAGCAGAGCTCTCAGTCCTGACAAATGGATAAAATGTTCTTTTGCTAGATTTTTTAAAAACTTGAAAAATGCTTTTGACATCCTTCTATGTGTGCATGCACACACTACCACCAAGAAATCCAGCTCCAACTTGTTGTTCCCAGCTCCTTTAATCTCTTCCTCCCTCTTTCTGGCATTAGCATGTTTTCCATGACGGCAGTGTGAGTTCTTATAAATAAAGGTGCTGACATCTGCATGAGTTTCAGGGCCTTCTTCCTGATGCCTCAATATTTTTGAAAAGCAAGATTGTTAAATCTCCTGACCACAGAAATCACACGATAGATTTAGGATTTAAAAGTCTGACCAAGAATAATTTTACGCCATAATGAAAGAATGCAGTC
This sequence comes from Homo sapiens, assembly GCF_000001405.40. Taxonomy (NCBI): domain Eukaryota; kingdom Metazoa; phylum Chordata; class Mammalia; order Primates; family Hominidae; genus Homo; species Homo sapiens. The sequence goes on along the minus strand of NC_000013.11, from coordinate 79,998,364 downwards.
TGATCACTACTCCCTTTCAAATGTGTTTATGAAGGTTCTTCTAGGTGGCATTTAGTGTCCTAAAGTTACATAATACAGACAATGGAAAACAAGATGCATAATGACCCCATGGCTATGTTTTAAATAGCTAATTCTGTTGGGTTTAAGAGTCAGTGGATAGCAAAGACCTGAAACCAACCCAAATGCCCATTAATGATAGACTGGATTAAGAAAATGTGGCACATATACACCATGGAATACTATGCATCCATAAAAAAGGATGAGTTCATGTCATTTGTAGGGACATGGATGAAGCTGGAAACCATAATTCTGAGCAAACTATCGCAAGGACAGAAAACCAAATATTGCATTTTCTCACACATAGGTGGGGATTGAACAATGAGAACACTCGGACACAGAGTGGGGAACATCACACACCAGGGCCTGTCGTGGGGTGGGGGGAGGGGGGAGGGATAGCATTAGGAGAAATACCTAATGTAAATGATGAGTTAATGGGTGCAGCACACCAACATGGCACATGTATACATATGTAACAAACCTGCACGTTGTGCACATGTATCCTAGAACTTAAAGTGTAATAAAGAGTCAGTGGATGTAGATAGCTCATGAATAAAATTCTAGCCAATACAAATGGAAGAATAAAATATAATTAATTGGGAAGTTACATAGGAAAGTACAGGTATGGGGGATATACTGGATGTCCACCTTCACCAGGCTGAGATATCACCAGTCTCTCCTATGTCCTGTTTGCATTACAACTTTAAAACTTTTTGTCCCTGGATTCTTCCCTAGAGAAACCCAACAGTGACCATACAGCTTGGGCAGACATAGTAGTTCTGATTGTCTAGGCGATAGCCCAAATGCCTACAGCCTCCTGGCAGAATCCTCAGACTTTCCCAGCAAGCTACTTCCTCTGCTCTGTCACCATATGGATAAACAATTGGTTCAGCAGCTAGGGGCCAGGATAGAGTTTGCTTGGATCTGCTCATTTGTTTGTTCTGAAAGACATGTATGTGGAATAAATTTAACGGTTACACAAGCTGCATGGGCTATGTCTACAGAAGAAAAACAGACTCCAAAAGTTTCTAGAAAGTGTAGTAAGGAGGAACTGATGATCGCTGAGATCTCTGGCCACATAAAAGCCACTGAGATTAACACCATTGAACAGAAAGGAGAGGTAAATTCCACCCAACAGCAGGCGCTCAGCCTGCAAGGAACCCACTCTGAGATAATGAAGACTCAAGATTCATGAGTTCTTTTCTGGATATGGTATGCATCATTTTGCAAGTTCACTCTGACCCAGCCTCTACAGAAGCTTCTCTAAATGGTTTTAGGTAATGCTTTATAAATTGAAAGAGCAGGGTGGCTTTTGGAGTAAAAAAGAGGCTTAGAAAGAGCTATATTCACTTTATGGCAAAGGCATGTGTAAAGAACAGCATTATGACCACAGTGGAAGTGACAAGGATATGAACAGGGCAGTGGCAGTGACCTCAATGTCACTAGAATCTGTAGATTTCTTGTGCTTTACCAGTGATGTAGAAACTATTCAACAAGGCCATTGAGTGGCACCCCCTTAGTGTGGGCAAAAAGAGTGCTTGTGACAAATGTCTCCACTCTGATTTTAGGGGCCATTGGTCAATGGCATATGGGTCTTTGGGGACAACATGACTTTGGGGAAAGAATTAGCATAGAGAAGTCACAAGTAAACACATCGGTGGGTGAGAGAAATCACACTGTCTCTAGTGCTTAAATGGCAAAAATAGGTTTTTAAACTTCACTTCAGAGCCAAAATAGTGAGGTTAGACAACAAAGAGTGATGAGAGAAAATTCTTAGCACCCAAAGACCACAAATTGCATTTTAAAATGTGGTTTCCTTAGAAAAATTAATAAACGTAAAAATGTAGATTTCTCTAACTATAAAAACAACTTGAATTTATTCTTGGTTATATCGTTTAAATATCTAATATTATTTTCAAAGGCTCTTTTCAATGAGGATTTCCATTAAATTTATTTGTACCCCATTTGGTATGTTGAACAGTAGAAGCATTGAACAATTGAACATTTGGGTCCATATGTGCTTTTAAATCATTGTCTTAAACATCTCAAATTCAGTCCATAATTCACCATTTTTTTTCTCAAGACTGTCTCCTCTTCCAAAGTCCTGTATCGCAGGGGCTGTCATCACCATTAACTGAATGATCCAAGCCAAAAAACTGGAGGTCATTCCTTATTCTTGTTTCTTCATTCATTCATGTACTCATTCCTTCTTTCACTCTATAAATCCTTTAGAGTAACACCTAGGTGTAAGGCACGTAGGTGCTAGGATAAACTACTTAGACTGCATTCTTAGAACTATGGCACATTCCACATCAAGACAATTTACAAAGGCTTTTTGAATTAGCTTCATTATACTTCAGTATCTCCTTACTTCATCCCATCTTCACTCCTACTCCCTTAGCTTAGGACAGGGTTTCTCAACATTGACACTATTGGTATATTAAATTGGATAATTCCTTTTCGTGTGAAGATGTCCCTATATATTGTAGAAGGCTTAGCAGCATTCCTGCACTCTACCCACTGGATGTATCACCCACCCCTAGCTGTGACAACCAAAAATGCTTTCAAATATAGCCAAGTGTCCCCTACAAGGGGGAAAATAAACCCCACCTACAACCCATTGAGAATCACTTGTTTAGGCCATCATTGTGTCACAGCTGAGTAACTGAAATAAACTCTTTACTTTTATCCTTTCTTCCTATGATGTGTCATACACATCATGGGCATCTCCATTTCTTAAGCCATTTCTAAGTGTGATCTCACCTCATCCTAACATCCTGCTGTGAGCTGTATAATTAGCCTGCTCTACAAAAAGGCAGTAGAAGCCAGGAGAGTGATTCACCCACTGTCAGAGATTAAGTAGGAGGCAGGATTTAAAACCAAGAGCTGACTAAATTTATAAAAACTTCTGTTAACAAATAAGCAACAGTTATATTGAGTGTTTATGTTAATATTAAGAGCCATATATGTTTTCCTCAGTTTGAATTCATTTGATGGCTCCCAGTTGTCTGAATGGTGAACAAGGCTTTTCAGGGCTTGGGTGGTAGTCACTTCTCTACCACATTTCTTATTTCCACCTCCCACTTCTCACCATATATTCCTATTCCAGTGTTGCTTGTGCTTTTCTTCAAACACCTGTGTTCTTTCTGGTTTCTGGGATTTTCCTCATGTTCTTTGTCTGCCTTGAAAATCTTCTCTTCATTCTTCTCTTGTCGAACTCCTCTCCATTATTTAGGACTTAGATCAGGCACCCTATTTCCAAGAAGTCTTCTCTGACATCCTCATTCTGTGTTAGCACTATCTCTGCCTCTCTGCCACCACCTACACATATTGGTATTACATCCCCCATCACACTGCATGTGATATTCTGTGTCTCTCTGATTGGTCCCACTTGGTAAGACTTCCACCATTCAACTATTTGTGTTACCTTGAACAAGTCATAGAACCATTCTATGCTTCAGTTTCTTCATCTATAAAATGGGGACAATAACAACAGCTACTTCATTAGATTATTGCAAGAATTATGTGAGTTATATTAAGTGTTCAGAAGAATATTAGGCAAGTGTGAATGTTATGTGTGTATTTATTATTTTTATTTGAATTCCAAAAATCTATTATAATCCTGGCACATGTTGGAAACTCAAAAATCATGGTTAAGTAAGTGAATATTTTCACTAAAATTTTCAGGATAATTCCTCAGTACAAGTTCAGCAATACTCATACTCAATCAACTTTCTGTCCTCACACTGATGGAACAGAGCTGATTAGTTCGGCCAAGGGTCTGCTGGATTAGACCTGCAATGGTGAAGCAGATAGCCATTCCTTACCCCATGCAGAGAGCCTAGGCAGAGCCAAGAATCTTCCAAAGCTGTATTTGATGTGCCAGATCCAAAGTAGTTAATCTTTAGAACTATTGCTACTGAGAAAAATCAAAAGCAGTTCCAGGTGGACTTTTATCCTATTCAAGTGCACTGTTCCATTTTTTTCTTTTGGTCTTTCTACTTCTTTCATTCTTCCTCCTCATTTCCTAAAAGCCATTTTCCCCACATTTTAATTTTCATTTGTTTGCCCTTGCCTTCTTTGTGAATAGATCTGTCTGTGGCTCCCTTAAACAGCTCAGAGTTGCTAAGTCAGAACAAATTTTAAAAATCTGATTATTAAACAATTTACTGTCCCAAATGCAAAGAAAACTGTGAGAATGCTACCATAGACAAGAACATCAAACTACTCACCAAATTACTTGGAGGAGAAATTGACTTGGGGGCACTAGCTGGGTTGGCCTCATCAGAAAAATGTTTTCTATTCATCTGCCAATAAAAAATTTTCTACATTTTCCATTGAAGACTTATTGTACACATATTTTTACAGTCAGTAATATTTTCCCATCATTTATTAAACTCTCCATTGGAAATGGCCTCAGACAAGTTTTCAGGAATTATGCCATTTAAATGCAAATCAAAGCCCCTAAATCTTACATAGATTTATTCTCTTCCATAATATTTTGTTGAATTGCTTCATCTGTCAAGTAAAAGATTGCATTGTCTTTTGTTAAAAGAACTTCTTATGAAAACAGAATTGTACACCAGGGAGATAGATTATAATTTCCTTGGGAATAATAATTCTGAGCTTTCAGACGTTGGTGTAATTGAAATCTTATTCTTAACCTCATATTAACATAGTTGGAGGCATCAAAATATATTTAATTATTTATTAAGTGTTCTTTAAAGAATTCCCACATAAAAATGATTTTCTAAGCAAATGCTTGCAAGCTTGAAGTTAGATAAAATGCACTTTATCCCCCATAATTAGAGATGATGAGTGTACTTTGAGTTAGAAAAATGAAGAGCATATTGGCCATGATGATTTCACAAATAATTATTCTTCTTTTGTCACATAAAAGAGTGTTGGACCAAATTCCTTATTGGTACTAACTATGTTAGGTCTTTCCTGAATTAAAAGATGGCTCAAATTTAGATAGTAATTTAGGAATCATAAAATTTATATATTTTTTCTGCTGCTATAAACTCACGAGGTTGGGTTAAAAGGAAACTATATACAAAGAAAATATGTGTACATATACATAGATATACATATGCTATGGCTTGTGTGTATATGTCCTTCCAAAATTCATATGTTGGAACTTGAAACCCAAATGTGATAATATTAAGAGGTGGGGGCTTTAAGTTAAATCATGAGGGTGAAACCCTCATAAATGGAATTAGCAACCTTATAAAAGAGCTAGAACAAACTAGGTAGGCCCTTTTTGCCATTCAGCCATCTAACATGTGAAGACACAGCATTTGCTTTTTTGCTGTGCGAGGTCGCTGCAGCACTGATTCATGTTGGAAGCAGGAAACAGCCCTCACCAGACATTGAATCTGTTGGCAACTTGATCTTGGACTATCTGCACTCCAGAAGTATGAGAAATAAATTTCTGACCTTTATAAACTACCCAATCTCAGGTATTTTGTTATAGCAGCACAGACTAAGACAGCACACATACACACAAGCACACACACACACAAACACACACACATGCAAGCATTTTCTTGAATTAGAAAACAACTTTTGTTTTGGTGTTTATTCACAAAGTAGTCTTATATTGAGTGGTGGCTTCTGTTACTGTTGTGTCCCTTTGAAGAACTATAAATGAGTTAATTTGCTAACTATATCTGTATACAGAAAATGTAATTGCTCTTTGTGATTGAGGATTATGCCATCATAGCAGTTATTATTTTTATTAATGTTAATTTTAACCAGTAAAGAAATTAAAAGTAAAAGTGGGAATTGGACCTCAGTAATGAGAATATAAATGTTTTATTCTTTACCTAGCTTTATAAGCCCTAGATACACATACATGATAATCTTTTCATTCTTTCAACAAGTATTTACTCAGCGCTATCATGTTCTAGGTGGTAGACTAGGCCTTTGGAATAAAAATGAGGCAGACTCTTTCATTGACCTTACATAACTTGCAGAACCTCAGGAAAGACAGACAATGGATTGTGAAATAGGCTATATATTCTTGTGAGATATTAGAGAAAGTTTCTCAGAGAAAAGGCCATTTGAGCTGAAATCTGGAAAACAAATTGGACTTGACTGGTAAAGTTTCAGGACAGAGGGAGAAGGAGCCAGGCAGGGGAACAGGATGTATAAAGATCTAGAAACAAGAGGTAGCATGGAGCCTTGAGGGAGCAGCAAGGTTTGGTATGACAACAGTACACAGTGGTGTATGGGCACTGGAGAAGAGGCAGGAGACACAGGTAGAAGATAGGTCATGGAGGGTCTTGCACATTATATTATATTTTGATGTCAATAATACTGGGAAAGTTTAGAAATGTTTGGAACTAAGGAATGATATGAACTGTGGCATTGGTATTTGTGGAAAATCATTTAAGGTACAATGTGAAAAACGAATTTGTGAGATTAAGAATGGAGGGAAGAATCTAAATAATGAGGTATTTGTAGTAGTCCAGGTGAGTGTCAGTGAGGGAATGGATTAGGGTTGTGGTAATAATGCTGGCGAGATGGACAGAATTGAAATATAATTCTTCTGTTCACTGTTTATTGACCTGGTGATTGATTAAGCAGTGAGAGAGAAGTCACAGATGGCCCCAGGTTTCTGGTTTGGGTAGTAGAGCCACCTTTCACTGACATAACAACACTGGAGGAGACACAATATTGGGAAGATGATGAGTTCAAATTTTGAAATGTTGAGTTCAAGGTTCTTAGATGCCTCTGAGCAAAGCTATTCAGTAAGAAGTTGCCTATGGGGCTCCAGTTGTCTGCAAATAGGTCAGACTTTGAATTATAGATTTGGGAGGTATTTCAAAAAGCTGCTGAACAAAATCCACATTTTCTGTTAGCATAGGCTCATGAGTAGACTACATTTCCCTGTACATTTTCCGACTGGATGGTAGATGCCATATGATTAAAAGCTGGTCAGTGGAATATGAGGGGAAAAAGGAAAACACCCCACTTATGGGCCATATCTGTAAAAACCGTCCATGTGCATGGTTCCATGGCCTTTTTTCAATGCTTTTTTTCTGTCTTTAAACCAAATGTTGAAGATAGGCAGGACCTCTGTTTGCCGGAGTTACTGAATGATGAAAGAAGAGCCATTCCACTGGCTTTTTCACCTCCCCAATATTGCTATAGAAGCGACATCTAAACCATATTATGAATTTGCAATTATATGTTTAGGGGGTGAATTTGTTACTGCAATGAGGTTACCGTAACTAGCTTTCTGAACAAAGATGGAAAAAGAATAAAATCTGAAGCCTCAGAAGAGATTGTCTAGATAAATGGTTGTTCTAGTATCCATTGTTGCTTTAACCAATTACCACAAACTCAGTGACTTAAAATAACAAATGTGTTCTATTACAGTACTCGGGGTTAGGAGTTTGAAGTGGGTCTCAACAGTGTCAAGTGTCAGCAAAGCTGCATTCCTTCCAGAAGCTTGGGGGGAAGATCTCTGTCTTTGCCTTTTGCAGCTTCTAGAGGCTGCTTTCATCACTGTGACCTCTGCTTCCATCATCACATCTCCTTCACTGACTATCTGGCCTTTATCTTTCTCTTATTAGGACTCTTGTGATTACATTGGGCTCTCCTGGATAATCCAGGATAATCTTCCCATCTCAAGGTCCTTAATGGAATCACATGTTCACAGTCCCTGTTTCCATGTAATGTAACATATTCACAGGTTCTGGCAGTTAGAATGAGCACATCTTTAGAAAAGGAGCTCTTCCTCTGCCTCCTACACGAGTGTGGAATGACATAGGAAAAGCATCTAAAACACATGTGGAGTCACACCAACTTAAAAGGTATTGGCAGAGGAAGAGAAAACAGCAAAGTAACCATAAATTAACATAGAAAGACCTGGAGGAAACCTGGCAGTGTGGTGACATAAAAAATATGGAAAGAAAGTATTTTAAGGGAGCAATCAGTTGTGTTTCTATTAGTGAGAGATTAGGTAAGACAAAGACTTACAAATGCTCACAGAAATCATTTGTGGTCTCTTAAAGATCTGCTGGAGTATAGCAATTAGAATGAAAGGCTAAGTTGAGTCATGGCTGGGAGCGGGGACAGAGATAGTAAGACAATTCTTTTGAGAAGATGTGTTCTAAACAGCTACAGAAAACTAGAGGGAGAAATAGTGGAGGGGGAGGGAGTTGCCCACCCCCACTGAAAATGCATCTGCATATTTAAATGTGCCAGTAAAGAAAGACGTTAAAAATAAAGAGTGAGAGGGAATAATCAGATTTCAGCCTGTAAGAAGAGGGAAAAGGAAGAAAATATTTTTCATTTTGACAGGGAAGAGAAGGAAACTATTGAGTTGTATAAAAGTAAATTGAGAAAATTACTGTTGCATTATTTGTTTTCTCTATTAAATAGAAGATCACGGGCTAATAGCTGAGGGGGCTTCTGGGGTGGGGTGATGGACTTTTGAGAGGCATAGGTATTGTTGAAATACTACATGGAATCATTGCTTGTTGACCAGGAAAAATATAGTAGTGCATTAGAGAGCCACAAGTGCCCCATCAAAATGAAAGACATAAATATGTAGTGGACCAATTCTGACCACTGTATGATTTTTCTCTTGAAATGTCAGTGAGCTGCATGCAAAAGCAGAGAATGTAGCAGTAGAATGTATTAAGGTTTGTAGGGTTTTCTCCAATGAGGAATGGCGGAATGACCACAGAATAGAGGTTTTAGCAAACTGGTAAACAAAAGGATGAAGTAATGGCATGACTAAGGAGCTAAGTAAAGACAGGAGGGACCTAATGGGGAGAGGGACAAGGGACTCTATAAAATAAAGCACTAAAGTCAAAGAGCTGGTGTTGGGAACAATAAAGTGAGAGAGATGGTGAGGAATGCATGGTTAAGAATGACTGTGACTACTTTATTTGAGAGATGGTGCAATCTGCATGTGATAAGATCTAGGGTGTGACCATGGAGTGGGTGCCTGGGGTGGCGGAAAATTCTGGAAGCTGAAGCAGGCAAGGAACCTTGAGGCAAAGTTGTCAGTTGGAGTCACCCAGGATGGTGTCAAGCCAGAGGGTGGAGAGAATGACTGCCGGCCAGGTGCCTAGGTCTTCCAAGAGATTACTACCATATCATCAGCAAATAGGCGAGAAGTAAAAAGTCAAAAGCTTCCCACAAAGGCAAAACATATTAAGGCAATTACCTGAATGATTTGATTAAAATCCTTGTCCTGGTTTTCTAGGAAAAAGAAACTTAGCCTGTTTTGGCATAAATGAATTTACGTGAGAATTTACAATGTCTCAAACCATTTTTCCTGTTTGAATAGTTAGCCACTAGTAGTTTACCTCTGGTCCCAACTGGCCATTAGCCTGAGGATGGATTAACATTGGACTTACTGCCAATGAATGTGCAGAAAGAAATCCTCTCAACGTTCTTCTCTGTTGGGTTGGCCAAATCACAAAGAAAGAGCTTGCAGTAGAGAGTCTGGAATGGAGAATATGCAATGACACTAAAAGTATCTCTGCATTTTACTCTCTGAGTCTGAACATTGCTTGTTCACATCAGCTCCGTGGCCCCATGACTCAGCCCTGTCGTAAAAGAGTATTTTTTTAAATAGTGATAATACTTTGTACTGTTTAATGTACTCTGTAAGGCAAGATAAACTAGCAACTTCCTTGCCCTCCAGGAGCTAACAATTGTGTGCCTATATTTAGCTGTCTAAAATCATAGATTAAACCATTTAAACTTCTTTATATGAACTAAGTATAAGTAAATTAATAAGTGCTTTCAAGTGGTGATAAACAGGGGAATTCTTAAGGAAGGCTCATCAGAAATATTGCCATCTATCTTATTCCAATACAGGGAATTATAGCATCTACTTTCTAAGCACGTGTACCCAGAGCTGAGGAAAACACCAAAAGAAGGCACACACATTGTATGTTCACTGAGGACACTTACAGTCTTGTTTGGAACATATATATAATACATATGGAACATTCATAAAATATAAGATGTATCAACTATTGAAAGCTTCTGAAATAAATAAATGGTATTTTTATTATAGGAAGGGTACCTCTGTTTGCTCAAAGATGGGTGAGATGGCTCTTGTTATTGTGTAGCTCACAGTATATGGGAGAAAGCAGATGTGTGTACAGGTAAGCTACACTATGTCATATGCAGAGACTTGTGGGCCAGAGAGGAGAAATCATTTACAGGGGCAGTTAAGAACATTCTCAAAGAGTAGGTGACCTTGGAACCAAGTCTAGAAGGCATTGTAGAAACTTGCTAAGGTGGGAGAGGGAAGGTGAAAGATGGGCCTTCCAGGTATGAGCCTCCTCTGAAGTTGCTTCCTCTGACTAACATCACTCTAAATGACTCTCTTGCTCTGTAATCCATAGTTAATTAAATATTTTTGGAACTAGAAGGATGAAACTCCAGAGATTCTATGATTCAGAAATTCAGTGGTGAAAACTGAAATCCAAAACAAAAGAAGTGTTTATTAGAGCTCCTACAGCTCAAAGGGGATAAATTGAAACTAAGCAATGTCTGTGGAATAAATAATTGCACAGGCTAACCAGCGCTGGGACCAAATCTGTAGAGGAAGGAAATAAAAATAAGTGCTAAGGGCAAAAATTCAACTCTGAATAGTATCTCCAGTGGTTATGGCAATACTTATTCTTACTGCTCTTAGCATTCTGCTCAATGCCATTCAATGCCATAGTAATTAAATGAGACAACTTGGTTAAACTAAGCTTAATTGTTCTATTGCCTTGTACAAATATTCTGTGCTTGTTTATGGTATTTTTGAAATTGCAACTGAGTCATTTACCTTGGGTGTGGACCCCAAGCCCACAGTGAGCAATTGTTTATTGGGAGGGACAGGCAAGGCAGAGTCATGCTTCACAATGAAACCTCTGCTGTCTCAGAGGCTGACAATCAGGATTTCACTATTTTAGTTTGTAGGACAGAGTGAGAACCAGATGTACCAGAACATAACAAAAATATCCCCGATGATCTTTTTTTTCTTTGCAAAATGGGAAAATCCAAACCTTGTCTATTGTAAGTCATCAATAGCCAAAATTGATGGGACTCCACAGATACTGCAGATAAATGTGAATATTTTAAAAGGAGGCAGGGTGACTTCTGCCTTTGTTCTGGCATGTAAGGAGCTTAGAGGTTGCCACCCCATTCTAAGAAGTCAAACCTGAACAAACTGAAAAATCAACAGTCCTTCTTAGATCCATCAGAGAGGAGTGAGGTCACAGGGCAAACTTCTGTTCCTCAAATTGGAGAAACAGACAAATACAAAGAATGACAACTCACCACAGGAGAAACCCATGAACAGAAGCCTTCACGGGAACCAGTACCAGGATAGGAAAACCTAAACTATAATTCATGAATTGCTAGAGGCTATGTGGGAACAAGTTTGAGAGTTAAAAATTCTAAGGGAACCCAGTCATGGAGGGCCCCCACACTTTTGAGAGTTTTACATCTGGGAGCCTCTACCAGGTTCTCATAGTACCAGTTCTCATAATTTTGGGGAGAAAAATTCCACAATGCTTCCAGAAGGAAGAGGAGAGAAGTAACTATTTTGAAATATAACAGTGCTTTCTGTTGTTCTTAACAAGGTCTGCCATCAAGAGAAGCCGTTTTACCAGAATCTAACCCTTTGGGGTTTTATCAGAGCCAAATTTCACCAGCAGAAGGGGAATATTCAACTCCAGCTGGTTCTACCATCCTATCACACCTAAGGGGGAGAAAATCAAGGAGTGCTAGTGAAACTCACGGTCTGGAGCAGAGGCTCTCCAAAAAACTGAGACATAGTCATAATAATATAGACTTCTTCCCCTCCCCCACAAACCTTGCCGCTACTTACCAAAGTGCTAATAACAGCAGTTTCTTTTACCCAGTACATCACATCCATTTTTCAACCAAAAATTACATTTACTAAATGTCGAAAACATAATTTGAAGAGACTGAACAAACATCAGAATCAGAGTCAGATACAGCAGGAATGTTGGAATTGTTCAACCACAATTGCTAAACAACTATAATTAATATTTTAAGGGATTTAGGGAAAAAGTAAACAGCATCTAAGAACAGACAATACAAGACAGGTAGAAATTCTAAGAGAAAATGTTATTAAATTCTAGAGATCAAAAACATAACAGAAATGAAGAGTGATTTAGATGGCTCATTAGTAGACTGAGCATAGCTGAGGAAAGAATCTCTGAGTTTGAGGATATGGCATTAGAAACTTCCAAAATTGAAAAGCAAAGGAAAAAAAAACTGGAAAAAAACCCCACAATATCCAAGAAATATAAGAAAATGAAAAAAAAAAAGAACAGTGGGAGAAGAAAGAAAATACGGAACAGAAGAAATAGTTGAAGTAATACCTGACTGCTCAGAAACCAAGCAAACAAGAACAAAGTGGACTGAAATATTTAAAGTGTTGTGAGAAAAAAAAAGTCCCCACCAACTTAGAATTCTGTACATTATGAAATTATCCTTCAAAAGTGAATGTGAAATAAACTTTCTTAGACCAACAAAAGCTGAAGAAATTCCTTGCTGGTACACCTGCTTTGTAAGAAATGTTAAAGAAAAAAAGTGCTTCAGAGAGAAGAAAAATGATACCGGACAGAAGCTTGGATATACATTTTTTAAAAAGGAAGTGCAGAGAAGAAGGAATGAGTGAAGAACAAATAAAAACTTTATTTTTAAAAATTTTAATCAATTTAACAGATAACAGTTTGTTCAAGATAACCGTATCAACAATGTATTTGATTAAGGATGCTGTGTATATTTATATGCAAATATATGCTTATATAAGTAAAAGGAATGACAACAATGATAGAGGGACAGGAAGAAGAAAAAATTAAGAACATTTTATTACAAGCTACTCATATTACCCATGAAGTGGTACCATGTTACTTGAAAGTGGACTCGGATTAATTGTAAACGTATATTGCAAACTCTTTTAACACCCACTGAAAAGGGCGAAAAAGAAAAAATAAGTTTTTTAAAAAGTAAAATTGATATGCTAAGCAAAGAGAGAAAATGAAAACATACAATGGTCAACCAAAACTAAAAAAGGCAGAAAACAGTGGGAGACAAAATTGAGAAGAAAAAAGGGCAACACACAGAAAACAGGAAAATATAAAGTAATATTACTCCATCTATATCAATAGTCACTTTAAATACCACTTAAACTCAATGGCACTATTAATTAACTGTATATAATTGACATCTATAGGCTACTGTATCCAACAACAGCAGAAAGCATGTTTTTCTGAGGCTTATATGGAACTTTCATCAAGATAGACCACATTCTGGGCCATAATAAACAACTTAACAAATCTAAAAGAACAGGAATCTTACAATGTCTGCTCTAAGACCATAGAATTAAATTATAAATTAGTAACAGAAAGATAGCTGGAAAAGCTTGAAAGATGTGGAGATTAAGCAACACACTTATAAATAAAATATAAGTCAAAGAAGATATCTCAAGAAAATTAAAAACTATTTGAACTAAATGGAAATGAAATATAACTGATCAGAATTTGTGGAATGCAGTGAAAACATTGCTTAGAGGGAGATTCACAGCATTAAATACACTATTAGAAAAGAAGAAAAATCTAAAATTAATCATCTAAGCTGTTACCTCAGTATAATAGAAAGAGAGGAGGATAGTAAATTTAAAGTAAGGAGAAGGAAAAAATAATAAAAATTAGAGCAGAAATCAATGGAGAATGTCAATAAAATCAAAAGCTGCTGTTAAAATATTTCAATAAAATTAATAGGTCTCTAGTGAGGCTAACGAACAAAAAAGGATACAAATTACTATTATAAGATACAAAGGAAAGCTATTACTGTAGATACTATGGACAATAAAAATAATAAAGAAATATTATTAAAACTCTATGCCTACAAATTTGACAAATTCCATGAAATATACAACCTGCCAAAACTCACACGAGACGAAATAGATGATATGAATAGGCTTATATCTATTAAAGAAATTGATAAAATAACAGTAGTCTAATAATCTTCCTAAATAGAAAGCATCAGGCCCAGATGTGTTCACTGGTAAATTCTACCAAACATTTAAGGAAGAAATTAAACCTATTCTCTACAATCTATTTCAGAATATAAAATCAGATAAAATACTTCCTAACTCATTCCATGAGGCTAGCATTACCCTAATATCAAAACCAAAGACCTTACAAGGAGAGAAAACAATAGGCCAATATCTCTCATTAAAATAGATGCAAAAATTCTCCATCAAATATTAGCAAATTGAATCCAGCAGTATGTAAAAAGAAGTATACACTAAGTGAGATTTATCCCAAGTATGTAAGTCTGTTTCAAAATTTGAAAATCAGGTAATGTGATCTATCACATTTACAAGCTAAAGAAGAAAAATCACAAGATCCTGTCACTAGGGCAGAAAAAGCATTTGACAAAAATCAAACACCTCCTCATAATAAGAACTCCCATCAAACTAGAAATACAGAGGACCTTCCTCAACTTAATGAGTAAAATCTATGAAAAGTGTTACAGTTAACATCCTACTAATAATAAGAAACTAGAAGCTTTCCTGTTAAGATCAGGAACAAGGTAAGGATATCTCTTCTCACAATTGCCTATTCACATTCTACTGCAAAATTTAGTTAATGCAGTAAGATGAGAAAATGAAATAAAAGGCATACTAATTGAGAAGGAAAAAATAAAACTGTCTTAGTTTGAAGAGGACCTGCTCATCTATAAAGAAAATCTGAAAGAATAGACAAAGAGACTCTTGGAACTTATAACTGATTTTAACAAGGTCACAGGATATAAGGTTAATATATAAAAGTTAATCACTTTCTTATATACTGGCAATGAACAAGTGAAATTTGAAATAAAAAGCACATTACCATTTATATTAACTCCCTCAAAAGTGAGATATTTAGGTTTAAATCTAATGAAATATTTATGTATAAGATCTATATGAGGAAAACTATAAAACTCTGATAAAAGACATCAAAGAACCAAATAATTGGAGAAATAGTACATGTTTGTGGATAAGAAGACATAATATTGTCAAGATATGAGTTCTCCCCAACTTGATCTATAGATTCTGTGCAATCACAATCAAAATCCAAGTAAATTATGTGGATATTGACATACAGATTCTAAAATTTACATGAGGCAAAAGATTCAGAATAGCCAACTCAATATTGAAGGAGAGGAACAAAGTTGGATAATTGACACCACCTGACTTCAAGACTTATTATAAACCTACAGTAATCAAGAAACTATAGTATTTGTGAAAGAATAGGAAATAGATCAATGGAACAGAATGCAAAGTCCAGAAATATATCCACATAAATAAAGTGAACTAATCACTGGCAAAGGAGCAAAGGCAATACAACAGAACAAAAAGAGTCTTTTCAACAAATGATGCAGGAACAACTGTACATCCATAAGCAAAAAAAAAAAAAAAAAAATCTAGACACAGACCTTATACCTTTTACAAAAGTTAACTCAAAATGAGTTGTATACCTACATATAAAATGGAAAATTATAAAACCTCTAGAAGAAAACATAGGTGAAAACCTAGATAACCTCAGGTATAACAAAAACTTTTTAGATGTAACACCAAAGGTACAATCCATAAAATAATTCAAAAGTTAGACTTTATTAAAATTTAAAACATCTGCTCTGAAAAGACAATGCCAAGAGAATAAGAAAACAAATTACAGACTGGAAGAAAATATTTGCAAAGGTCACACCTGACAAAGGACTGTTACTGAAAATATACAAAGAACTCTTAGAATTCAACAATAAGAAAATGAACAACCCAATTTTAAAATGGGCAAAATACCTGAACAGACATTTAACCAAAGAAGATGTACAAAAGACAAGTAAGCATATGAAAAGATGCTCCACATCATATGTCTTTAGGGAATTGCAAATGAAAACAAAAATGAGATACCACTGTACACTTATTAGAATGACAAAAATCCAAAACACTGACAAGAACTAATGCTGGTGAGGATGTAGAAGAATAAGCATTCTAATTATTTGCTGATGGGAATGCAAAATGGTACAGCCATTTTGGAAATCAGTCTGGCAGTTTCTCACAAAATGAAACATACTGTTAACATATAATCCAGCAATTACACTTCATAGTATTTAATCAAATAGTTGAAAAGTTATGTCCACACCAAAAAACATACACAGAGATGCAAAACCTGGAATCAACCAAGATGTCCTTCAATAAGTAAATGAATAAACTCTGGCACTTTCAAATAATGGAATATTATTCAAGTCTAAAAATAATTGAGTTCTCAAGCTATGAAAAGACATGGAGAAAACTTAAATGCATATTACTAAGAGAAGTAAAATAATCTAAAAAGGATACCCTGTATGATTCCAACCATATGCCATTCTGAAGACAAACTATGAAGACTACAAAAATATCAGTGATTTCCAGGGGTTAGTGGGAAAGGAGGGATAAATAGGCAGAACACAGAGGATTTTTAGGGCAGTGAAACTACTCTGTATGATACGCAGATAGTGGCTACATGCCATCATACATTTGTCCAAACCAATAGAATGTGCAGCATCAAGAATCAACCCTAATGTAAACTACGGAATTTAGGTGAAAATGATGTGTCAGTGTAGGTTTATCGAATCTAACAAATGCCTCCATGTGGTGGTGATGTCAATAGTGGGGAGGCTGTGCATTTGTGGGGTCAGTGGGACATAGGAACCCTCTGCGCTTTCTGCTCAATTTTGCTGCAAACCTAAAACTGCTCTAAAAAATAAAGTTTATTTTTTTAAAATGGAGGAAGGGGGTAGCACAATACCTAACACTTGGGATCACAGAGAACAGTGACTTATAATTTGACCAGGAATCTGTGTCAAAAAATGATAAGCCTGGGGCTTCTTTTTTCTTTCTTTTTTTTAAATTATACTTTAAGTTCTAGGGTACATGTGCACAAAGTGCAGGTTTGTTACATAGGTTTATATGTACCATGTTGGTTTGTTGCACCCATCAACTCGTCATTTACATTAGGTATTTCTTCTAATGCTATCCCTCCCCGAGCCCCCCACCCCATGACAGGCCCCAGTGTGTGATGTTTCCCTCCCTGTGTCCATGTGTTCTCATTGTTCAATTCCCACTTATGAGTGAGAACATGCAGTGTTTGATTTCCCATCCTTGTGACATTTTGCTGAGAATGAGGGTTTCCAGCTTCATCCATGTCCCTGCAAAGGACATGAACTCATCCTTTTTTATGGCTGCATAGTATTCCATGGTGTATATGTGCCACATTTTCTTTATCCAGTCTATTATTGATGGATATTTGGGTTGGTTCCAAGTCTTTGCTACTGTGAATAGTGTCACAGTAAACATATGTGTGCATGTTTCTTTATAGTAGCATGATTTATAATCCTTTGGGTATATACCCAGTAATGGGATTGCTGGGTCAAATGGTATTTCTAGTTCTAGATCCTTGAGGAATCGCCACACTGTCTTCCATAATGGTTGAACTAATTTACACTCCCACAAACAGTGCAAAACCATTCCTATTTCTCCACATCCTCTCCAGCATCTGTTGTTTCTGACTTTTTAATGATCACCATTCTAACTGGTGTGAGATGGTATCTCACTGTGGTTTTGATTTGCATTTCTCTAATGGCCAGTGATGATGAGCATTTTTTCATATGTCTGTTGGCTGCATAAATGTCTTCTTTTGAGAAGTGTCTGTTCATATCCTTCACCTACTTTTTGATGAAGTTATTTGTTTTTGTCTTGTAAATTTGTTTAAATTCTTTGTAGATTCTGGATATTAGCCCTTTGTCAGAGGGATAGATTGCAAAAATTTTCTCCCATTCTGTAGGTTGCCTGTTCACTCTGCTAATAGTTTCTTTGGCTGTGAAGAAGCCCTTTAGTTTAATTAGATCCCATTTGTCTCTTTTGGCTTTTGTTACCATTGCTTTTTGTGTTTTAGTCATGAAGTCTTTGCCTGTGCCTATGTCCTGAATGGTATTGCCTAGGTTTTCTTCTAGGGTTTGTATGGTTTTTGGTCTTACATTTAAGTCTTTAATCCATCTTGAATTAATTTTTATATAAGGTGTATGGAAGGGGTCCAGTTTCAGCTTTCTACATATAGCTAGCCAGTTTTCCCAATACCATTTATTAAATAGGGAATCCTTTCCCCATTGCTTGTTTTTGTCAGGTTTGTCAAAGATCAGATGGTTGTAGATGTTTGGTGTTATTCCTGAGGCCTCTGTTCTGTTCCATTGGTCTATATCTCTGTTTTGGTACCAGTACCATGCTGTTTTGGTTAAGGTAGCCTTGTAGTATTGTTTGAAGTCACTTAGTGTGATGCCTCCAGCTTTGTTCTTTTTGCTTACAATTGTCTTGGCTATGTGGGATCTTTTTTGGTTCCATATGAACTTTAAAGTAGTTTTTTTTCCAATTCTGTGAAGAAAGTCAGTGGTAGCTTGATGGAGATAGCATTGAATCTGTAAATTACTTTGCGCGGTATGGCCATTTTCACAATATTGATTCTTCCTATCCATGAGCAGGGAATGTTCTTCAATTTTTTTGTGTCCCCTTTTATTTCATTGAGCAGTTTTATGTATTTCTCCTTGAAGAGGTCCTTCACATCCCTTGTAAGTTTGATTCCTAGGTATTTTATTCTCTTTGTAGCAATTGTGAATGGGAGTTCACTCATGATTTGGCTCTCTGTCTGTTATTGGTGTATAGGGATGCTTGTGATTTTTGCACGTTGATTTTGTATCCTGAGACTTGGCTGAAGTTGCCTATCAGCTTAAGGAGATTTTGGGCTGAGACGATGGGGTTTTCTAAATATACAATCATGTCATCTGCAAACAGAGACAATTTGACTTCCCCTTTTCCTACTTGAATACCCTTTATTTCTTTCTTTTGCCTGATTCCCTGGCCAGAACTTCCAATACTATGTTGAATAGGAGTGCTGAGAGAGGACATCCTTGTCTTGTGCCAGTTTTCAAAGGGACTGCTTCCAGTTTTTGCCCATTCAGTATGATATTGTCTGTGGGTTTGTCATAAATAGCTCTTATTATTTTGAGATATGTTCCATTAATACCTAGTTTTTGAGAGCTTTTTAGCATGAAGACCTGTTGAATTTTGTTGAAGGCCTTTTCTCCATCTATTGAGATAATCATGTGGTTTTTGTCATTGGTTCTGTTTATATGATGGGTTATGTTTATTGATTTGCATAGGTTGAACCAGCCTTGCATCCCAGGGATGAAGCCAACTTGATTGTGGTGGATAAGCTTTTTGATGTGCTGCTGGATTCATTTTGCTAGTATTTTATTGAGGATATTTGCTTCGATGTTCATGAGGGATATTGGTCTAAAATTCTCTTTTTTTGTTGTGTCTTTGCCTGGCTTTGGTATCAGGATGATGCTGGCCTCATTAAATTAGTTAGGGAGGATTCCCTCTCTCTCTATTGATTGGAATAGTTTCAGAAGGAATGGTACCAGCTCCTCTTTGTACCTCTCATAGAATTTGGCTGTGAATCCATCTGGCCCTGGGCTTTTATTGGTTGATAAGCTATTAATTATTGCCTCAATTTCAGAACCTGTTATTGGTCTATTCAGATATTTGACTTCTTCCTGGTTTAGTCTTGGGAGGGTGTATGTGTCTGAGAATTTATCCATTTCTTCGAGATTTTCTAGTTTATTTGCATAGAGGTGTTTATAGTATTCTCTGATGGTAGTTTGTATTTATGTGGGATCAATGGTGATATCCCCTTTATCATTTTTTATTGCGTCTGTTTGATTCTTCTCTCTTTTCTTCTTTGTTAGCCTTGCTAGTGGTCTATTTTGTTGATCTTTCAAAAAAAAAAACCAGCTCCTGGATTCATTGATTTTTTGAAAGTTTTTTCATGTCTCTATCTCCTTCAGTTCTGCTCTGATCTTAGTTATTTCTTGTCTTCTGCTGGCTTTGG
The DNA here is from genome assembly GCF_000001405.40 of Homo sapiens. Lineage (NCBI taxonomy): Eukaryota > Metazoa > Chordata > Mammalia > Primates > Hominidae > Homo > Homo sapiens. Next base: position 79,978,334 of record NC_000013.11, on the reverse strand, counting down.
AATTTGTTTGCTCTTGCTTCTCTAGTTCTTTTAATTGTGATGTTAGGGTGTTGAATTTAGATCTTTCCTGCTTTCTCTTGTGGGAATTTAGTGCTATAACTTTTCCTCTACACACTGCTTTAAATGTGTCCCAGAGATTCTGGTATGTTGTGTCTTTATCCTCATTGGTTTCAATGAATATCTTTATTTCTGCCTTAATTTTGTCATTTACACAGTAGTCATTTAGGAACAGGTTGTTCAGTTTCCATATAGTTGTTTGGTTTTGAGTGAGTTTCTTAATCCTGAGTTCTAATTTGATTGCACTGTGGTCTGAGAGACAATTTGTTGTGATTCCTGTTCTTTTACATTTGCTGAGGAGTGTTTTACTTCCAATTATGTGGGCAATTTTAGAGTAAGTGCAATGTGGTACTGAGAAGAATGTCTATTCTGTTGATTTGGGCTGGAGAGCTCTGTAGATGTCTATTAGGTCCACTTGGTCCAGAGCTGAGTTCAAGTCCTGGATATCTTTGTTAATTTTCTGTCTTGTTGATCTGTCTAATATTTACAGTGGGGTGTTAAAGTCTCCAATTATTATTGTGTGGGAGTCTAAGTCTCTTTGTAGGTCTGTAAGAACTTGCTTTATGAATTTGGGTGCTTCTGTATTGGGTGAATATATATTTAGGATAGTTAGCTCTTCTTGCTGAATTGATCCCTTTTAAGATTATTTAATGGCCTTCTTTGTCTCTTTTGATCTTTGTTGGTTTAAAGTCTGTTTTATCAGAGACTAGGATTGCAACTGCTGCCTTTTTTTTAATTTTCCATTTGCTTGTTAGATCTTCCTCCATCTCTTTATTTTGAGCCTATGTGTGTCTTTGCACTTGAGATGCGCCTCCTGAACACAGCACACTGATTGGAATGTGCTGAATACGGCACACTGATGGGTCTTGACTCTTTATCCAATTTGCCAGTCTGTGTGTTTTAATTGGGTCATTTAGCCCATTTACATTTAAGGTTAATATTTTGAGCCTATGTGTGTCTTTACACATGAGACACTTCTCCTGAATATAGCACACTGATTGGAATGTGCTGAATACAGCACACTATGTGTCTTGACTCTTTAACCAATTTGCCAGTCTGTTCCTTTTAATTGGGGCATTTAGCCCATTTGCATTTAAGGTTAATATTGTTATGTGTGAATCTGATCCTGTCATTATGATGTTAGCTGGTTATTTTGCCCATTAATTGATGCGGTTTCTTCATAGCATCGATGGTCTTTACAATTTGGCATGTTTTTGCACTGGCTAGTACCGGTCGTTTCTTTCCATGTTTAGTGCTTCCTTCAGGAGCTCCTGTAAAGCAGGGCTGGTGGTGACAAAATCTCTCAGCATTTGCTTGTCTGTAAAGGATTTTATTTCTCCTTCACTTACGAAGCTTAGTTTGGCTGGATATGAAATTCTTGGTTGAAAATTCTTTTCTTTCAGAATGTTGAATATTGGTCCCCACTCTCTTCTGGCTTGTAGGGTTTCTGCTGAGAGATCTGCTATTAGTCTGATGGGCTTCCTTTTGTGGGTAACCCAACCTTTATCTGGCTGCCCTTAACATTTTTTCCTTCATTTCAACCTTGGTGAATCTGACTATTATGTGTCTTGGGTTGCTCTTCTTGAGGAATATCTTTATGGTGCTCTCTGTATTTCCTGAATTTGAATGTTGGCCTGCTTGCTAGGTTGGGGTAGTTCTCCTACATAATATTTTAAAGTGGTTTCTAACTTGGTTCCATTCTCCCCACCACTTTCAGGTACACCAATCAAATATAGATTTGGTCTTTCCACATAGTCCCATATTTCTTGGAGGCTTTGTTCATTTCTTTTCACTCTTTTTTTCTCTAATCTTGTCTTCTTGCTTTATTTCATCAATTTGATCTTTAATCACTGATATCCTTTCTTCTGCTTGATCAAATTGGCTATTAAAGCTTGTGTATTTTTCATGAAATTCTTGTGCTGTGTTTTTCAGCTTCATCAGGTCATTTATGTTCTTCTCTACACTGGTTAGCCATTCATCTAACCTTTTTTCAACGTTTTTAGTTTCCTTGCAGTGGGTTAGAATATGCTCTTTTAGCTTGGAGAAGTTTGTTATTACACACCTTCTGAAGCCTACTTCTGTCAGCTAGTCAAACTCATTCTCCATCCTGTTTTGTTCCCTTGCTGGTGAGGAGTTGTGATCCTTTGGAAGAGAAGGTACATTCTGGTTTTTGGAATTTTCAGCCTTTCTGCTCTGGTTTCTCCCCATCTTTGTAGTTTTTTTCTACCTTTGGTCTTTGATGTTGGTGACCTATGAATGGAGTTTTGGCATGAATGTCCTTTTTGTTGATGTTGATGCTATTCCTGTTTGTTAGTTTTTGTTCTAACAGTCGGGCCCCTCAGCTGCAGGTCTGTTGGAGTTTGCTGGAGGTCCATTCCAGATAATGTTTGACTGAGTATCTCCAGCAGAGACTGCAGAAAAGTAAGTATTGCTGCCTGATCCTTCCTCTGGAAGCTTCGTCCCAGAGGGGCAGCTGCCAGATGCCACCCAGAGCTCTCCTGTATGAGGTTTCTGTCGGCCCCTACTGGGAGGCAACACGGGGGTCAGGGACCCATTTGAGGAGGCATCCTGTCCATTATCAGAGCTCAAACACCATGCTGTGAGAACCACTGCTCCCTTCAGAGCTGTGAGGCAGGGATGTTTAAGTCTAGAAGTTGTGCCCACAGTCGCCCCTTCCCCCAGGTGCTCTGACCCAGGGAGATGAGGGTTTTATCTATAAGTCCCTGACTGGGCTGTTGCCTTTTGTTCAGATATGCCCTGCCCACAGAGGTGGAATCGAGAGAGACAGTTGGCCTTGCTGAGCTGCCGTGGGCACCACCCAGTTTGAGCTTCCCAGCAGCTTTGTTTACACTGTGAGTATAAAACTGCCTACTCAAGCCTCAGCAATGGTGGACACCCCTCCCCCCACCAAGCTCCAGCATTCCAGGTGGATCTCAGATTGCTGTACTAGCAGCGAGAATTACAAGCTAATGGATCTTAGCTTGCTGGGCTCCGTGGGCATGGGACCTGCCAAGCCAGGCACTGGAGGGAATCTCCTGGTCTGCCAGTTGTGAAGACTGTGGGAAAAGTGCAGTATTTGGGTAGGTGTGTACCCTTCCTCCCAGTATAGTCTCTCATGGCTTCCCTTGGCTAGAAAAGGGAAATCCCCTGACCCTTGTGCTTCCTGGGTCAGGTGATGCCCAGCCCTGCTTTGGCTTGCCCTCTGTGGGCTGCACCCACTGTCCAACCAGTCCCAGTGAGATGAACCAGGTAACTCAGTTGGAAATGCAGAAATCACCCTTCTTCTGCATCAATCTCACTGAGAGCTGCAGACCGGAGCTGTTCCTATTCGGCCATCTTGGAAGAGTCCTTGGGGCTTCTTTTTTCAGATGGCTGACTAGCCTAGGAGCATAAGATGTCACTTCTCCTCAAAAAGAAGACCACAGCTACTGGTGAATGGACATGGCTTGAACGGAAAACTAAGGGAAGAGAGCCGGAACCTGTTGGAGTCCTGATGGAAAGAAGCTGGGGTGCAGAAAAGAAAAGCAGAAAGAATCTGGCAGAGAATAACCCCCTGAGGAACTCGAAGCCCCACAGAAAGGGTAGGTCGCAGTGTGTCTCTGCTCCCTTCACCCCTACAACCACCTGTTGACTCCTAAACTGTTAGGGTAACCCCCTGCCCTGATAACCCTGGATAACACTGTTGGCAGCAACTTAAGAACTTCCCAGGGACACAGAACCAGGTGGTCACCTCACACAAGCATAACTGCACTCCCCTAAGGCCAGAAAGGAGAAGTCAGGCACCATACTGGTAGGCCACTGCCCTGCCCAGGCAATCTCTTCTCCTGAGTCACTGCACCACCAGATCCCTCACAAACCTACCCCACAGCCTTCTCTGACTGTGGCAAAATACAGGGGACCAGCAGGTCACTGGGAGGTACAGGACACCTGGAGATCTTACCCTCAATGGGGGTCACCCCTAAGTGAGAGGGGTGTGCAGCTCACCAAAGCTCCCCTTGGGACAAAAAAAAAATATGGATGCAGTGCTAATCATGCCATTCACTGAAAAGGGCAGCACCAGATGCCAGGAATAGACATGGAAAATTGTCATCTCCTCACTGCCTCCCCTCACTGTTGCCAAAGCAATAGAGGTTCTCTCTCCTGGGGGCAGGTGAATGTGTATTTGGAGAATGCACTTTTTGTGCTTTTGTCAATAGCTTCACCCCTGTTAAAAGTGAGCCTGCACTACTTGGGCTTGCAGGAAGAGCAGGGGTCAACTACCTCCCTACACAGAAACACAGAGCAGCAACATCCTAGCAACAAAGAGCAGACAAGCCACAGAGTTGTCCACCGAGGACTGGATGAAGAGGCTCTGCCTGGGGCCCATTTTGGTGGTGGCCACCGGAGGGGTGTATACAAGGCCTGCAGCCACACTATGGCATGGAACCAAATGTTCAAAGTCTAAATGAGCTGAAGGTCATGAGCCCTGTGACAAAGGTGTGAAAAGGAAACAGATTGTGTTCCTGTGGGCTCAGGATAGGAACTGGTGCGCCCCTCCCTGCACCATCCCCAGAGACCTCAGTGCACTCCAACACAGTCTCCTCTGACCACTCCCATCGGGGTGGGAACTTCCACTCATTATTAGTTTTCCTGAGTTGGCTCTTACTCTTAAGCACCACCTACTGGACTGGAGGCTAAACTGCACCACTAAATAAAAAAAAAAAAAATCTGCCAGAAGGGCTTAGTGCTTAGTGGATGAGATAAGCTTTCTGAGACCTCCACATCCTCAGCCATGCACGAGACAGCATGTTGGCTCTTATGTCCAATACATCACTACAACAAGCAACATCTGAGAAAGCCACCACATAGAAGCTATCCACAACCAAGGAACCCATACAGAGCTTTGACCCCATGAAAGCACCCAGAAATTAAACCAATCATACGTAACATACAACACAGTCATATTCTCAAGGGAAAAAAGAATAAAAATTTTAAAAGTCCCATTCAAAGAATAGCAAATTCAAAAATAAGAAATAACAGCTCCCTTAGATGAAAGGGAATCAGTGCTTGAACTTCAGCAATACAAAAAGACAAGTTGTCTTGACAGCTCCAAAGGATTGCACTAGCTCTCTAGCAATGTGTCCTAACCAAAATGAAAAGTCTGAAATAAACTGAAATCTACATTTTGATAAAGAATTCAAAATGTAGATGACAAAGAAACTCAACAAAATCCAAGAGAAAGTTGAAAATAGAAACAAAGAAACCAGAAAAAAATGATTCTGGATATGAAACACAAGATAGCTATATTTTAAAAAAAGCAAATAGAACTTTGAAATTGAAAAATATTCACTAAAGAACTTCAAAATATAATTGGAAGCTGAAACAATAGACTAGATCAAGCAGAAGAAAGAATTTCAGAGCTTGAAGACCAACCTTTCAAATTAACCCAGTCAGACAAAAATAAAGAAAAAATAATTTTAAGAAATGAACAAAGCTTTTGAGAAATATGAGATTATGTAAAATGACCAAACCTATGACTTACTGGCATTCTTGAAAGAGAAGAAAAAATAAGCAACTTGGAAAACATATTTGAAGGAATAATTCAGGAAAATTTCCCTATTCTTGCTAGAGAGTTCAACATCCAGATACAAGAAATTCAGAGAACACCTGCAAGACACTATACAAAATGACCATCCCCAAGGCAAAAAGTAATGAGATTATCCAAGGTCAATGCTGAAGAAAAAATCTTAAAGATAACTAGAGAAAAGGGCCAGATTACCTACAAAAGAAATCTCATCCCACTAACAGCAAACTTTTAAGCAGAGACCTTACAAGCCAGAAGAGATTGGAGGCCTATTTTTAGCCGTCTTAAACAAAAAGAAAATTAGCCAAGAATTTTATATCCTGCCAAACTAAGCTTCATAAATGAAGGAGAAATAAAGTCTTTCCCAGGCAAGCAACTGCCAAGGGAATTTATCACTACCAGACCAGTTCCACAAGAAATGCTCAAAGGAGCTCTAAATAACACCAAAAGGACAATACTTACCAACCATAAAAGCACACATAAGTACAAAGTTTACAGATCCTATAAAGCAATTACACAATTGAGACTACAAAGCAACTAGCTGACAACACTATGACTTCACATATCAATATTAACCTTGAATATAATGACCTAAATACTTCGCTTAAAAGACATAGATTGACAAAATGGATTTTTAAAAATGATCCAATTATCTACTTCCTTTAAAAGACCCATTTCATATATAATAATACCTACAAGATCAAAGCAAAGGGATGGAGGAAGATCTATCATGCATATTGAAAACAAAAAAAAAGAGCAGGGATTGCTATTCTTTTATCGGATAAAACAGACTTTAAACCAAAACCAGTGGAAAAAAAATACAAAAAAATGGCATTATACAATTATAAAAGATTCAATTCAACAAGAAGATTTAACTATCCAAATATAGAAAACATATCTGAGTGAATAACTCAGGAATATCCTGAGTATGCACCCAACATCAGAGCACCCAGATTTATAAAACAAATACTACTAGACTTTAAAAAAAGAGATAAGCATACAATAATAGTTGAGGACTTCAACACCCTACTGACAGCACTAGACGGATCATTAAGGCAGAAAACTAATAAACTGAGGACATAAATTGTACTCTTGACCAAATGGACATAATAGACACCTATGGAACATTCCACCTACCAATGCAGACTATACATATTTCTCAGCTGTGCATGGAACATTCTCTAAAATAGACCATATGCTTGGTCAGAAAGCAAGTCTTAATAATGTCAAAACATTGAAATCATATCAAGCATCGTCTCAGACCACAGTAGAATAAAATTAGAAATCAACACCAAGAGGAACTCTCAAAACCACACAAGTACATGGAAATTAAACAGTTTGCTCCTGAATAACGTTTGAGTAAACAAAAATTATGGCAGAAATCAACATTTTTTAAAAACCAATGGAAACAGAGACACAACATACCAAAACCTCTGGAATACAGCAAAAGTAGCTAAGAGGAGATTACAGCACTAGATGCCTACATCTACAATATAGAAAGATATTAAATTAACAACTTAATATTGCATCTAAAGGAACTGAAAAACCAACATTCAAACAAGCAGAACCAGAAATGATAAAGGTGTCATTAAAACTCATTCCACAGAAATACAAAAGATCCTTAGGGACTACTATGAACATCTCTATGAGCACAAACTAGAAAACATAGAGTAAACGAATGAATTCCTGGAAAGATACAACCACTGAAGACTGAACCAGGAAGAAATTGAAATCCAGAACAGACCTATAGTGAGTTAAGAAATTGAATCAGTAATAAAAAAAATCAACCAACCAAAAAAAAAAAGCCCAGGCCTAGAAGGATTCATAGCCAAATTCTACCAGACATAAAAAGAATAGCGAGTACCAATCTTACTGCAACAATTTCAAAAAATTGAGAACAGATTCCTCCATAACTCATTCCATGAAAACGTTATCATCCTGATACCAAAATCTGGCAAGGCCATAAAGAGAAAACTACAGCAAAATATTCCTGATAAACATAGATGCAAAAATCCTCAGCAAAATACTAGAAACAAAAACCCAGCAGCACATTAAAAAGATGATTCATCACAATCAACTGAGTTTTATTACAGGGTTAGGCTTTGTGTCCCCATCCAAATCTCATCTTGAATTATAATCTCCATAATTCCCATGTGGCTAGGGAGAAACCAGGTGGAGGTAATTAAATCATGGGGGTCGTTTCCCCCATGCTGTCTCATGATAGTGAATGAGTTCTCACAAGATTTGATGGTTTTATAAAGGGCTCTTCCTCTTTTGCTTGCCTCTCTCTCTCGCACCTGCCACCATGTAAGATATGTCTCTTCCCCTTCTGCCATGATTGCAAGTTTCCTGAGGCCTTCCCACCCCTGCAGAACTGTGAGTCAATTAAAATTCTTTTCTTTATAAATTACCCAGTCTTCGGTATGTCACTATAGCAGTGTGAAAACTAATACAAAGCCAAAGTCAAATAAACCCATTAAAAAGTAGGCAAAGCAAGAATCATATGAGAAAAGCTCAACATCACTGATCATTGGAGAAATGCAAATCAAAACCACAATGATATACTATCTCACACCAGTCAGAATGTCTATTATTAAAAAGTCAAAAAATAACAGAAGCTGGTGAGGTTGTGGAGAAAAATGAATGCTTTTACACTGTTGGTGGGAGTGTAAATTAGTCCAACCATTGTGAAAGACGGTGTAGCAATTCCTCAAACCTACAGACAGAAATACCATTAGACCCAACAATCCCATTACTGGGTATAGACAAAGAAATATAAATTGTTTTCTTATAAAGACACATGCACATGTATGTTCACTGTAGCACTATTCACAATAGCAAAGACATGGAATAAACCTAAATGCCCATCAATGATAGATGGATAAAGAAATTGTGGTAAATATACACCATAGAATACTATGCAGCAATAAAAAAAAGACTTCATGTCCTTGAATGGAGCTGGAGGTCATTATCCTTAGCAAACTAATGCAGGAAGAGAAAACCAAATATTGCATGTTCTCACTTACAAGTGGGAGCTAAATAATGAGAACACATGGACACTTAGATGGAAACAACACACACTGGGGCCTACTGGAGGGCGGAGGGTGGGAGGAGGGAGAGGATCAAGAAAAATAACAGATACTAGGCTTAATACCTGGATGATGAAATAATCTGTACAACAAACCTCTATGACACATTTACCTATGTAACAAATCTGTACATCCAGCACATGTACCCCTGAACTTAAAATAAAAGTTTTTTTAAAAAGTAGGCAAAGGACATAAACAGACACTTCTCAAAAGAAGACATACAAACAGCCAAGAAACATATTAAAAAATGCTCAACATCACTAATCATCAGAAAAATGCAAATTAAAACCACAAGAAAGTACCATCTCATGCCAGTTAGAATGGGTGTTATTAAAAAGTCAAAACATAACAGGTGTCAGCTAGGATGTGGAGGAAAGGAAACGCTTACACGCTGGAATGTAGATTAGGCTAAGCCCTGTGGAAAAGAGTATGGGGATTTCTCAAAGAACTAAAAATAGAACTATCATTTGACCTGCGAATCCCACTACTGGGTATCTACCCAAAGGAAAATAAATCATTATATAAAAAAGACACCTGCATTCATATGTTTATCACAGCACTATTCACAATAACAAAGTCATGGAATCAACCTAAGCACACATCAGTGGATTATTGGATGAAGAAAATATGGTATATATACACCATGGAATACTACACAGCTATAAAAAGGAATGAAATCATGTCTTTTGCAGCAGCATGAAGGGAACTGGAAGCCCATTAGTGAAATAACTCAGAAACTGATATTCAAATATCGTGTGTTCTCACTTATAAGTAAGAGTTAAACAATGGGACACAATGGACTTAAAGATAGAAATAATAGACACTGATGATTCCAAAAGAGGAGTATAAGGGAGTGGGTGAGGGTTGAAAAACAATCTATTGGCTACTATATTTACTATTTGGGGTTCAGTAGAAGCGCAAACTCCAGCATTATGCAATATATCCATGTTACAAACCTGCACACGTACTCCCTGAATCTATAATAAAATTTAAAATAAAATATAAGGAGACACCCATCTCTACAAAACCAAAGTTAAAAAATTAGGCAGGCATGGTGATGCATGCCTGTGGTCCCAGCTACTCAGGAGGCTATGGTGGGAGGATCACTTGAGCTCAGGAAATTGAGGCTGCAGTGAGCCACGATCATGACACTGCACTCCAGCCTGGATGACACAGAGAGACCCTGTCCCAAAAAAACTAAAAATCAAAACACAGTGAGACTGGATCTGAAATGTTACATTACCTGAAAATAGAGTAAAATTGGAATACTGGAGAACTAACTGATCAATTTTCTTCTTGGAAAAGTTGATATTGCCTTAAAATTCTCAACTCTTTTATGTTTATATTAAACAACATTAAATGCATATCAGCCTTGGATTAGATATGTATCTTCAAATCTATAAGCATCAATTTGCCCAACCTACATGTCAGGACTAGATGAAAACAGGCATGGCATAAGCCAAATGGTTAGAAAAAGCAATACACAGCTCTTCATGCAAGGACAATAGTCTTGAACAGAAGGAAGCAAACCAGAGCACAATTCTCCAGGTGCTGAGAAACTCTGCTATCTTTAAAGAAGCCCCAAGACTATTAACAGGGAGCTGTCTCTCATTGTTTAGATCATTATTTTTTATGCCAAACTGTCGTAATAGTTGACATTTTGTTCTGCACCCAATAGGTGGGTTTGGTAGCTTGGCAGACATCAACCCAATGACCACAGTCAAGAAGGATTTAGCAAGGGAATGTTAATACTTGTAACAACTAAGGTGAACACGGGGGCTGGTTCCCAAAACAGGGTCTCCCCAGCTGGGGGCTGGATCAAGCTATAAAAACTGTATTAGGATTCTCTAGAGGGACAGAACTGATAGGATAGATATGTATATAAAGGGAAGTTTATTAAGTAGTATTAACTCACACAATCACAAAGTCCCACAATAGGCCATCTGCAAGCTGACGAGCAAAGAAGCCAGTCAAGTCTCAAAAAGCTGAAGAACTTGGAGTCAGATGTTCAAGGGCAGGCAGCATCCAGCAAGGGAGAAAGATGTAGGCTGGGAGGCTAAGCCAGTCTAGCCTTTTCACATTTTTCTGCCTGCTTTATATTCTAGCTGCACTGGCGGCTGATTAGATGGTGCCCATCCGGATTAAGGGTGGGTCTGCCTTTCCCAGCCCACTGACTCAAATGTTAATCTCCTTTGGCAATATCATCACAGACACACCTAGGATCAATACTTTGCATCCTTCAATCCAATCAAGTTGACACTCAGTATTAACCATCACATAAGCATAGGCTAATGAGGTGTGATCTGATTGGATCTTGCAACGAAGTGATGCCAGAACTCAATCTGATTGACTCCTAAATCCTGCCCTAGGGTCTCTGTTTCTTAATTCAGACCCTGCTCCTGCGTCCCAGAACTTAGATTCCCCCTGTGGTTGCAGGTGTGGTTAATCTGAGCATGCTCAGATTATGTGACCAGAGGGTCCATGGCACACAAAAACAACTTACAATTCTGTTATATAAGATTGGACCAGATTGGTCTCATGCAGCTATAATTTAAATACTTACCATGTCTCAAACACTGTTTTAAGCACTTTATTTATATTACAGATGAGGAAACAGACACAGACATTACTTGACATGTTGAAGACCATGCAGCTAGTAAATGACAGCCAGGATTTGAACTCAAACTTGAATTCAGAGCTCATGCCTTGAAGCCTGTTGCTGTATTGCCTCCTACCACACATAAAGAGGCTCCAGTCAGCTAGGCTGGTTCACGCCTTGTATGGCCTGGGGTTTCATCGTGTTGCTTCCCTGGGAGGGAAACCCCTGACAAACAAATCAAGCTGCCTGTTATGTTAGGGAAGACAGAAGGCAGCAAGAAGCCTTGAAGTGTTAATATCTTTGTTTACTTTGTCTTGATTAGCTTTTCATGCACCCTCAAAACCTTTTGTGAAGAAATAAACTAAACTTTGGGAACAGCTTGCTGGGCAATGTCTTGAGGGCTCAAGGGATACTCAGTGATTCAGCATAAAGTTGGCAGTCAAGAAATGCTTGCATAAATGACTGACAATTGGTGAATCAGTCAATTCAATAGAATGTCTACTTAACTATGGATTTAGTGACCTCCTTATCTTATTCATCATATGCACATATCTTCCCTTGTTACACTTCAGTTGTTTTATTATTTACTGCATTTGCCACACTTTTCTTCCTTCATGGCCTTGCTTATGTTGTTAGCTCTGCCTAGAAATCCCTACTTTTTCAAAGCTGCAAGTTTAAATCCTACTTAAGTCCTACTACATTTAGGTCTAACTCAAGCATTGCTTATCTTTACTAAAGTAATTTATCCCACCTCTGATATTGTACATCATCGTCACTATACACTGCAACTGGTTTTGTATATGCCTTATTGCGTAACGTAAGTTGCTTAAGGGAAGTGTCATTCCTGTTTTATTTTTCTTGTCTTTCTTTGTGTTTTATGCAGTATAGAGTGGCATCCAAAAAAAAGATAGTACTGGGTTTGAGTGGTGAGTATTTATAAATGAACCTTGTATTCCATGTATTATACTACTTATCAACTTTTGATTTATAATTCATCTTTTATCAACATAATATCTCAATAATTAGCCATCTGCTTGGAGTACTTTGAAATGTTTTCTTACATTTTCTCCTGTGATCATAATTGTATGTGCTTTTATGGGAATTAATAGCTGCAGTGAAGAAATCACTATAAAATTTATTAGAAATGAGAAGAATTTTATCTTGGTATCCTAGAAAAATTGAGATTATTAGTGAGCAAAATAAGTACATATCAAATTTACATTAAGTGTGGTTTTTTTTAAAGAAAAATTAAGCATTTAATGTAAGAGTTCAAACCCATATTTGTTGTGTTTCTTTTATCAGAAAGAAGACCCAATCAGAGTTGCAATGTAGACCTTGGAAATTTCTGAATTTAGTTACTAGTGTATGGATATCATATGTAAAGGAATTAGAAAAGAAATTATTCTGATTATTCAAAGAAATTCTACATGAAAATAATGGCTATTATACTTAAATATACATTTTAAAGAAGATTATATCACCTCACTATTCTGTTATACTTTGTAACTATTCTACATATATTTACATTTGAGAATGCAATTGAACTCTATGCAGCATTTTATTTTCTGTCAACATTGTTGTCATGTGATTATTTTCTATTTTAAAATGGCATTTAAAACAGAAATATATGTGTATGTATGTAACATTACAATGGTTATAAATACATAAACCCACATTGTCCTGTGTCAGAGCACATTGCATTTAAAGAATAGCTCAACCAGTCCAACAGTATTCATTCGTTACTTTTTTTTTTTTTTTTTTTTTTTTGAGATGGAGTCTCCCTCTGTCACCCAGGCTGGAGTGCAGTGGCGCCATCTCGGCTTACTGCAAGCTCCGCCTCCCGGGTTCACGCCATTCTCCTGCCTCAGCCTCCTGAGTAGCTGGGACTACAGGCACCCACCACCACGCCTGGCTAATTGTTTTGTATTTTTTTAGTAGAGACGGGGTTTCACCGTGTTAGCCAGGATGGTCTCAATCTCCTGACCTCGTGATCCGCCCACCTTGGTCTCCCAAAGTGCTGGGATTACAGGTGTGAGCCACCGCACCCAGCCCATTCGTTACTTTTAACTCTCTTTCAATCCCTTATGTGAGTCAATAGAATTTTTTTTTTTTTTTTTTTTTTTTTTTTTGAGATGGAGTCTCGCTCTGTCGCCCAGGCTGGAGTGCAGTGGCGGGATCTCGGCTCGCTGCAAGCTCCGCCTCCCGGGTTCACGCCATTCTCCTGCCTCAGCCTCCCAAGTGGCTGGGACTACAGGCGCCCGCCACTACGCCCGGCTAATTTTTTGTATTTTTAGTAGAGACGGGGTTTCACCGTTTTAGCCGGGATGGTCTCGATCTCCTGACCTCGTGATCCGCCCGCCTCGGCCTCCCAAAGTGCTGGGATTACAGGCGTGAGCCACCGCGCCTGGCCGATTTTTTTGTAATTATTATACTTTAAGTACTGGGATACATGTGCAGAACGTGCAGGTTTGTTACATAGGTATACATGTGCCATGGTGGTTTGCTGCACCCATCAACCCATCATCTACATTAGGTATTTCTCCTAATGCTGTCCTTCCTCCAGCCTTCCACCCAACGACAGGCACTGGTGTGGGATGTTCCCCTCCCTGTGTCCATGTGTTTTCATTGTTCACCTCTCACTTATGAGTGAGAACATGTGGTGTTTGGTTTTCTGTTCCTGTGTTAGTTTGCTGAGAATGATGGTTTCCAGCTTCATCCATGTCCCTCCAAAGGACATGAACTCATGCTTTTTTATGGCTGCATAGTATTCCATGGTGTATATGTGCAACAGTTTCTTTATCCAGTCTGTCACTGATGGGCATTTGGGTTGGTTCCAAGTCTTTGATATTGTGAATTGTGCTGCAATAAACATGTGTGCATGTGTCTTTATAGTAGAATGACTTATAATACTTTTGGTATATACTCAGTAATTGGATTGCTGGGTCAGATGGTATTTGTGGTTCTAGATCCTTGAGGAATCACCACATTGTCTTCCATGATGTTTGAACTAATTTACACTCCCACTAACAGTGTAAAACCATTCCTATTTCTCCACAACCTCTCTAGCATCTGTTGTTTCCTGACGTTTTAATGATTGCCATTCTAACTGGTGTGAGACGGTACCTCATTGTGGTTTTGATTTGCATTTCTCTAATGACCAGTGATGATGATGAGCTTTTCTTCATATGTTTGTTGGCCACATAAATGTCTTCTTTTGAGAAGTGTCTGTTCATATCCTTCGTTCACTTTTTGATGGGATTGTTTTTTTCTTGTAAATTTGTTTAAGTTTCTTGTAGATTCTGGATATTAGCCCTTTGTCAGATGCATAGATTGCAAAAATTTTCTTCCATTCTGTATGCTGCCTGTTCACTCTGATGATAGTTTCTTTTGCTGTGCAGAAGCTCTTTAGTTTAATTAGATCCCATTTGTCAATTTTGGCTATTGTTGCAACTGCTTTTGGTGTTTTAGTCATGAAGTCTTTGCCCATGCCTATGTCCTGAATGGTACTGCCTAGGTTTCTTCTAGGGATTTTATGGTTTTAGGTTTTACATTGCAGTCTTTAATCCATCTTGAGTTAATTTTTGTATAAGGTGTAAGAAAGGGGTCCAGTTTCAGTTTTCTGCATATGGCCAGTTTTCCCAACACCGTTTATTAAATAGGGAATCCTTTCCCCATTTCTTGTTTTTGTCGGGTTTGTCAAAATCAGATGATTGTAGATGTTTGGTGTTATTTCTGAGGCCTCTATTCTGTTCCATTGGTCTATATATCTGTTTTGGTACCAGTACCATGCTGTTTTGGTTACTGTAGCCTTGTAGTATAGTTTGAAGTCAGGTAGCATGATGCCTCTAGCTTTGTTCTTTTTCCTTGCAGTGTCTTGGCTATGCGGGCTCTGTTTTGGTTCCATGTGAAATTTAAAGTAGTTTTTTCTAATTATGTTAAGAAAGTCAATGGTAGCATGATGGGAAGAGCATTAAATTTATAAGTTACTTTGGTCAGTATGGCCATTTTCACGATATTGATTCTTCCTATCCATTAGCATGGAATGTTTTTCCATTTGTTTGTGTCCTCTCTTATTTCCCCGAGCAGTGGTTTGTAGTTCTCCTTGAAGAGGTCCTTCACATCCCTTGTAAGTTGGATTCCTAGGTATTTTACTCTCTTTGTAGTAATTGCGAATGGGAGTTCACTCATGATTTGGCTCTCTTTTTGTCTATTATTGGTGTATAGAAATCCTTGTGATTTTTGCACATTGATTTTGTATCCTGAGACTTTGCTGAAGTTGCTTATCAGCTTAAGGAGTTTTAGGGCTGAGACAATGGGGTTTTGGGCTGAGACTAAATATACAATCATGTCATCTGCAAGCAGAGAAAATTTGATTTCCTCTCTTCCTATTTGAATATCCTTTACTTCTTTCTTTGCCTGATTGCCCTGGCCAGAACTTCCAATACTATGTTGAATAGGAGTGGTGAGAGAGGACATCCTTGTCTTGTGCCAGTTTTCAAAGGGAATGCTTCCAGCTTTTGCCCATTCAGTATGATATTGGCTGTGGGTTTGTCATGAATAGCTTTTATTATTTTAAGATATGTTCCACCAATACCTAGTTTATTGAGTGTTTTTAGCATGCAGGGCTGTTGAATTTTATCGAAGGCTTTTTCTGCATCTATTTAGATAATCCTGTGGGTTTTTTTTTGTCATTGGTTCTCTTTATGTGATGGATTACATTTATTGATTTGTGTATGTTGTATGTTTTGTATGTTGAACCAGCCTTGCATCCCAGGGCTGAAGCTGACTTGATCGTGGTGGATAAGCTTTTTGATGTGCTGGTGGATTCAGTTTGCCAGTATTTCATTGAGGATTGTCACATCGATGTTCATCAGGGATATTGGCCTGAAATTTTCTTTTTTTGTTGTGTCTCTGCCAGGTTTTGGTATCAGGATGCTGGCCTCATAAAATGAGTTAGGGAGGAGTCCCTCTTTTTCAGTTGTTTGGAATAGTTTCAGAAGGAATGGTACCAGCTCCTCTTTGTACCACTAGTAGAATTCGGCTATGAATCAGTCTGATCCTGGACTTTTTTTTGGTTGGTAGGCTATTAATTACTGCCTCAATTTCAGAACTTGTTATTGGTCTATTCAGGGATTTGACTTCTTCCTGGTTTAGTCTTTGGAGAGTGTACATGTCCAGGAATTTATTAATTTCTTCTAGATTTTCTAGTTTATTTGCATAGAGGTGTTTATAGTATTCTTTGATGGTAGTTTGTGTTTCTGTGGGATCAGTGGTGATATCCCCTTTATCATTTTTTATTGTGTCTATTTGATTCTCCTCTCTTTTCTTCTTTGTAAGTCTGGCTAGTAGTCTTTCCATTTTGTTAATCTTTTCAAAAAACCAGCTCCTGGATTCATCGATTTTTTTGAAGGGTTTTTTGTGTCTCTATCTCCTTCAGTTTTGCTCTGATCTTAGTGATTTCTTGCTTTCTGCTACTTTTTGCATTTGTTTGCTGTTGCTTCTCCAGTTCTTTTAATTGTGATGTTAGGGTATTGATTTTAGATCTTTCCCGCCTTCTTCTGTGGGTATTTAGTGCTATAAATTTTCATCTAAACACTGGTTTAGCTGTGTCCCAGATATTCTGGTACATTGTGTCTTTGTTCTCATTGGTTTCAAAGAACTTATTTATTTTGTCTTAATTTGTTGTTTACATAGTAGTCATTCAGGAGCAGGTTGTTCAGTTTCCATATAGTTGTGCAGTTTTTAGTGGGTTTCTTAATCCTGAGTTCTAATTTGATTGCACTGTGGTCTGAGAGACTGTTTGTTAAGATTTCTGTACTTTTATATTTGCTGAGGAGTGTTTTACTTCCAATTATGTAGTCAATTTTAGAATAAGTGCTATGTGGTGCTGAGAAGAAGGTATATTCTGCTGATTTGGGGTGGAGAGTTCTGTAGATGTCTATTAGGTCTGCTTTGTCCAAAGCTGAGTTCAAGTTCTGAATATCCTTGTTAATTTTCTGTCTCATCTCATTGATCTGTCCAAAATTGACAGTGGGGTGTTAGTTTCCTGCTATTATTGTGTGGGAGTCTAAGTCTCTTTGTAGGTCTCTAAGAACTTGTTTTATGAATCTGGGTCCTCCTGTATTGGATGGATATATATTTAGAATAGCTCTTTTTGTTGCATTGATTCCTTTACCATTATGTAATGCCCTTCTTTGTCTTTTTTGATTGTTGTTGGTTTGAAGTCTGTTTTATGAGAGACTAGGATTGCAACTGTTCCTTTTTTTTTTTTTTTTGCGTTCCATTTTCTTGGTAAATATTCCTCCATCCCTTTTATTTTGAGCCTATGTGTGTCTTTGCAAGTGAGATGGGTCTTTTGAAAACAGCACACCGATGGGTCTTGACTTTTCATCCAATTTGTCAGCCTTTGTCTTTTACTTGGGGCATTTAGCCCATTTATATTTAGGGTTAATATTGTTATGTTTGAATTTGATTCTGTCATTATGATGCTAGCTGGTTATTTTGCCTGTTAGTTGATGCAGTTTCTTCATAGTCTCAAACGTCTTTACATTTTTGTATGTTTTTGCAGTGGCTGATACCAATTTTTTCTTTCCATATTTAGTGTTTCCTTCAGGAGCTCTTGCAAGACAGGCCTGGTGGTGACAAATTCCCTCAGCATTTGCTTGTCTGTAAAGGATTTTATTTTTCTTTCACTTGTGGAGCTTAGTTTGGCTGGATATGAAATTATGGATTGAAAATTCTTTTCCTTAATAATATTGAATATTGGCACCCACTCTTCTGGCTTGTAGGGTTTCTGCTGAGACATCTGCTATTAGTCTGATGGGCTTCCCTTTGTGGGTAACTTGACCTTTCTCTGCCTGCCCTTAACACTTTTTCCTTCATTTCAACTTTGGTGAAGCCGACGACTATGTGTTTTGGGATGGCTCTTCTCGAGGAGTATCTTTGTGGTGTGTTCTCTGTATTTCCTGAATTTGAATGTTGGCCTGTTTTGCTAGATTGGGGAAGTTCTCCTGGATAATATTTTACAGTTTGTTTTCTAACTTGGTTCCATTCTCATTGTCACTTTCAGATACACCAACCAAATGTAGGTTTGGTCTTTTCACATAGTCCCATATTTCTTGGCAGCTTGTTCATTCCTTTTCTCTTTTTTCCTTTTTCTTTTTCTTCTTTTTTTTTTTTTTTTTTTTATGAGATGGAGTCTTGCACTGTCACCTGGGCTGGAGTGCAGTGGCGTGATCTCAGCTCTCTGCAACCTCCACTTCCTGGGTTCAAGGGATTTTCCTGCTTCAGCCTCCCGAGTAGCTGGGATCACAGGCACCTGCCACCACACCCAGCTAATTTTATTTTTGTTTTTATTTTTAGTAGAGATGGGGTTTCACCATGTTGGCCAGGCTGGTCTTGAAATCCTGACCTTGTGATTCGCCCACCTCAGCCTCCCAAAGTGCTAGGATTACTCATGTAAGCCACTGAGCCTGGCCTTTTTTTTCTCTAATCTTGTCTTCATGCTTTATTTCATTAAGTTGATCTTCAATCTCTGATATCTTTTCTTCCGCTTGATTGAATCAGCTATTGATACCTGTATATGTTTCACAAAGTTCTCATGTTGTGTTTATCACCTCCATTGGGTCATTTATATTCTTCTCTAAACTGGTTATTCTAGTTAGCAGTTCCTGTAACCTTTTATCAAGGTTCTTAGCTTCCTTGCATTGGGATAGAACATGCTCCTTTAGCTCAGAGGTGTTTGTTATTACCCACCTTCTGAAGCCTACTTCTGTCAATTCGTCAAACTCATTCTCCATCTGGTTTTGTTCCCTTGTTGGTGAGGATTTGTGATCCTTTGGAGGAGAAGAGGCATTCTGGTTTTTGGAATTTTCAGCATTTTTGCACTGCTCTTTCTTCATCTTCATGGATTTATCTACCTTTGGTCTTTGAAGTTGGTGAGCTTTAGATGGGGTTTTTGCATGGGCATACTTTTTGTTGATGCTGATGTTATTGTTTTCTTTTTGTTAGTTTTCATTCTAACAGTCAGGCCCCTCTGCTACAGGTCTGTTGGAATTTTCTGGAGGTCCACTCCAGACTGTATTTGCCTGGGTATCACCAGTGAAGTCTGCAGAACAGCAAAGATTGCTGCCTGCTCCTTCCTCTGGAAGCTTCATCCCAGAGGGGCACCTGCCAGATGCCAGCTGGAGCTCTCCTGTATGAGGTGTCTGTCAACCCCTGCTGGGACCCACTTGAGGAGGCAGTCTGTCCCTTAGCAGAGCTCGAGCTCCATGCTGGGAGATCTGCTGCTCTCTTCAAAGCTGGCAGGCAGGAATGTTTAAGTCTGCTGAAGCTGTACCCATGGCCTCCCGTTCCCCCAGGTGCTCTGTTCTAGGGAGATGGGAGTTTTATCTATAAGCCCCTGACTGAGGCTGCTGCCTTTCTTTCAGAGATGCCCTGCCCGGAAAGAAAGAATCTGGAGAGGTAGTCTGTCTACAGTGGCTTTGCAGAGCTGTGGTGGGCTCCACCCAGTCCAAACTTCCCAGTGGCTTTGTTTACACTGTGAGGGGGAAACTGCCTACTCAAGCCTCAGTAATGGCAGACGCCCCTCCCCCAACCAAGCTGGAGCATCCCAGGTTAACTTCAGACTGCTGTGCTGGCAGCAAGAATTTCAAGCCAGTGGATCTTAGCTTGCTGGGCTCCATGGGGGTGGGATCTGCTGAGCTAGACCCCTTGGCTCCCTGGCTTCAGCCCCATTTCCAGGGGAGGGAATGGTTCTGTCTCACTGGCATTCCAGGAGCTACTGGGTACAAAAAAAAAAAAAAAAAAAAAAAACCTCCTGCAGCTAGCTAGGTGTCTGCTCAAATGGCCACCCAGTTTTGTGCTTGAAACCCAGGGCCCTGGTGATATAGGCACCCAGGGGAATCTCCTTGTCTGCCGGTTGTGAAGACCATTGGAAAAGCATAGTATCTGGGCTGGATAGCACCATCTCTTATGGCACAGACCCTCATGGCTTCCCTGAGGGGAGGGAGTTCCCTGACCCCTTGAGCTTCCTGAGTGAGGCGACACCCCACCCTGCTTCTGCTCACCCTCCATGGGCTGCACCCACTGTCTAACCAGTCCCAATGAGATGATCCAGGTACCTCAGTTGGAAATGCAGAAATCACCCACTTTCTGCATTGATCTCACTGGGAGCTGCAGACTGGAGCTGTTCCTATTCAGTCATCTTGCCAGCCACCCCTGAGTCAATAGATTTTTAAAAATTCTAATTTATTCAGATGTCTGAAATTCCTGGGAACTACTCACTCTCCTTCACCTACAGATGCTGCACCCACTGTCTAACCAGTCCCAATGAGATGATCCAGGTACCTCAGTTGGAAATGCAGAAATCACCCACTTTCTGCATTGATCTCACTGGGAGCTGCAGACTGGAGCTGTTCCTATTCAGTCATCTTGCCAGCCACCCCTGAGTCAATAGATTTTTAAAAATTCTAATTTATTCAGATGTCTGAAATTCCTGGGAACTACTCACTCTCCTTCACCTACAGAGCTCAATTTCTCCTTCTTACCATTCTGATCTCTCAAGTTTTCTCTGTGCTGCCTTTTGCTATAGAACACCTTTCAATTGGTCCTACTCAACACCCCTAACACACACACACACACACACACACACACACATACACACGTGCAGCTGCATGCACACACCATTCCCACCATGAACAGGTCCTGGACAGCCCTGTTCTCCAGCTCTGACTTCCTCTGTAGTGAGAATTGGCCTGCACAAACTTTTATCCTTTGTCTTTTCTTCCATGGGGTATTGGATTTGGAGGAAGAAGAAAGAGGTCTATGAACACTCATATTATTAATTTTTTCCTATTATTTATCCCAACTGAAAAACAGTAATATTAAATGCCCTTTATTACACCATGTATTAAGCTCATATCAACAGGGTCTGTCAGTAGTACTCATTTTTTCCTGCTAGATGTCAGAAATACATTATTTGTTAAAGTGTTGGTGAACTATTTTTTAAAACAAACATTTTTTTAGAAAGGTTCTAGTATTTAGAAATATTGAGAAAATAGTACAGAGAATTCCTATATCTCCTACACTCAGTTTCCCTTATTATCATCTTACATCAGTATGACACATTATAATTAACAAATCAATACTAATACATTTTTATTAATGTTTATGTTTTACATAAATTTCCTTAGTAAAGTAAACAATGTTTTTTTGTTTATGTGTTTTTTCCTTTTTGTTTCAGGATTCCATTCAGGATACTTCATTATATGTAGAGTTGACCCTGGAACAACATAAAGGTTAGGGATGCCAATCACCTGTGTGGTCAAAAATCTGAGTATAATTTTTACTCCCCCAAACCTTAATTACAAAGAGCCTACAGTTAACCTGAAGCTCTACCAATAACATGAACAGTTGATTAATACATATTTTGTGTATGTGTTATTTACTGTATTCTTAGGGTAAAATAAACTAGAAAAAAAGGAAATGTTATTAATAAAATCATAAGGAAGAGAAAATATATTCACTATTCAATAAGTGGAAGTGGATCATCGTGGATCATCTTTTTTTTATTATTATACTTTAAGTTCTAGGGTACATGTGCACAACATGCAGGTTTGTTACATATGTATACATGTGCCATGTTGGTTTGCTGCACTCAATAACTCATCATTTACATTAGATATTTCTCCTAATGCAATCCCTCCCCCATCCTGCCACCCCACGACAGGCCCCAGTGTGTGATGCTCCCCACTCTGTGTCCAAGTGTTCCCATTGTTCAATTCCCACCTATGAGTGAGAACATGCAGTGTTTGGTTTTCTGTCCTTGTGATAGTTTGCTCAAAATGATGGTTTCCAGCTTCATCCACATCCCTACAAAGGACATGAACTCATCTTTTTTATGGCTGCATAGTATTCCAAGGTATATATGTGCCACATTTTCTTAATCCAGTCTATCATTGATGGACATTTGGGTTTGTTCCAAGTCTTTGCTATTGTGAGTAGTGCCACAATAAACATACGTGTGCATGTGTCTTTATAGTAGCATGATTTATAATCCTTTGGATGTATACCCAGTAATGGGATCGCTGGGTCAAATGGTATTTCTAGTTCTAGATCCTTGAGGAATCGCCGCACTGTCTTCCACAATGGTTGAACTAGTTTACACTCCCACCAACAGTGTGAAAGCATTCCTGTTTCTCCACATCCTCTCTAGCACCCGTTGTTTCCTGACTTTTTAATGATCATCATTCTAATTAGTGTAGGATGGTATCTCATTGTGCTTTTGGTTTGCATTTCTCTGATGGCCAGTGATGATGAGCATTTTTTCATGTGTCTGTTGGCTGCATAAATGTCTTCTTTTGAAAAGTATCTGTTCATATCCTTTGCCACTTTTTGATGTTTGATTTTTTTCTTGTAAATTTGTTTAAGTTCTTTGTAGATTCTGGATATTAGCCCTTTGTCAGATGGGTAGATTGCAAAAATTTTCTCCCATTTGGTAGGTTGCCTGTTCACTCTGATGATAGTTTCTTTTGCTGTGCAGAAGCTCTTTAGTTTAATTAGATCCCATCTGCCTATTTTGGCTTTTGTTGCCATTGCTTTTGGTATTTTAGTCAGGAAGTCCTTGCCCATGCCTATGTCCTGAATGGTATTGCCTAGGTTTTCTTCTAGGGTTTTTATGGTTTTAGGTCTAACATTTAAGTATTTAATCCATCTTGAATTAATTTTTGTATAAGGTGTAAAGAAGGGATCCAATTTCAGCTTTCTACATATGGCTAGCCAGTTTTCCCAGAACCATTTATTAAATAGGGAATCCTTTCCCCATTTCTTGTTTTTGTCAGGTTTGTCAAAGATCACATGGTTGTAGATGTGTGGTGTTATTTCTGAGGCCTCTGTTCTGTTCCACTGGTCTCTGTTTTGGTACCAGTACCATGCTGTTTTGGTTACTGTAGCCTTATAGTATAGTTTGAAGTCTGGTAACGTGATGCCTCCAGCTTTGTCCTTTTTACTTAGGATTGTCTTGGCAATGCAGGTTCTTTTTTGATTCCATATGAATTTTAAAGTAGTTTTTTCCAATTCTGTGAAGAAAGTCATAGGTATCTTGATGGGGATGGCATTGAATCTATAAATTATCTTGGGCAGTATGAGCATTTTCACGATATTGATTCTTCCTATCCATGAGCATGGAATGTTCTTCCATTTATTTGTGTCCTCTTTTATTGTGTTGAGCAGTGGTTTGTAGTTCTCCCTGAAGAGGTCCTTCACATCCCTTGTAAGCTGGATTCCTCGGTATTTTACTCTCTTTGTAGCAATTATGAATGGGAGTTCACTCATGATTTGGCTCTCTGTTATTGGTGAATAGGAAGGCTTGTGACTTATGCACATTGATTTTGTATCCTGAGACTTTGCTGAAGTTTCCTATCAGCTTAAGGAGATTTGGGGCTGAGACAGTGGGGTTTTCTAAATATACAATCATGTCATCTGCAAACAGGGACAATTTGACTTCTTCTTTTCCTGATTGAATACTCTTTATTTCTTTCTCTTGACTGACTGCCCTGGCCAGAACTTCCTATTATGTTGAATAGGAGTGGTGAGAGAGGGCATCCCTGTCTTGTGCCAGTTTTCAAAGGGAATGCTTCCAGTTTTTGTCCATTCAGTAAGATATTGGCTGTGGGTTTGTCATAAATAGCTCTTATTATTTTGAGATATGTTCCATCAATGCCTAGTTTATTGAGAGTTTTTAGCAGGAAGGGTTGTTGAATTTTGTTGAAGGCCTTTTCTACATCTATTGAGATAATCATGTGGTTTTTGTCTTTGGTTCTGTTTATGTGATGGATTACATTTATTGATTTGCATATGTTGAACCAGCCTTGCATCCCAGGGATGAAGCCAACTTGATCGTGGTGGACAAGCTTTTTTATGTGCTGCTGGATTCAGTTTGCCAGTATTTTATTGAGGATTTTTGCATCAATGTTCATCAGGGATATTGGTCTAAAATTCTCTTTTTTTGTTGTGTCTCTGCCAGGCTTTGGTATCAGGATGATGCTGGCCTCATAAAATGAATTAGGGAGGATTCCTTCTTTTTCTATTGATTGGAATGGTTTCAGAAGGAATGGTACCAGCTCCTCTTTGTACCTCCGGTAGAATTCGGCTGTGAATCCGTCTAGTCTTGGACTTTTTTTGGTTAATAGGCTATTAATTATTGCCTCAATTACAGAACCTGTTATTGGTCCATTCAGGGATTCAACTTCTTCCTGGTTTAGTCTTGGGAGGGTGTATATGTCCAGGAATTTGTCCATTTCTTCTAAATTTTCTAGATTATTTGTATAGAGATATTTATAGTATTCTCTGATGGTAGTTTCTATTTCTGTAGGATCCGTGGTTATATCCCCTTTATCATTTTTTATTGTGTCTATTTGATTCTTCTCTCTTTTCTTCTTTATTAGTCTTGCTAGCAGTCTATCAATTTTATTGATCTTTTCAAAACACCAGCTCCTGAATTCATTGATTTTTTGAAGGGTTTTGATGTGTCTATGTCCTTCAGTTCTGCTCTGATCTTAGTTATTTCTTGCCTTCTGCTAGCTTGTTAATTTGTTTGCTGTTGCTTCTCTAGTTCTTTTAATTGTGATGTTAGGGTGTTGATTTTAGATCTTTTCTGCTTTCTCTTGTGGGAATTTAGTGCTATAAATTTCCCTCTACACACTGCTTTAAATGTGTCCCAGAGATTTGGTACATTGTGTCTTTGTTCTCCTTGGTTTCAAATAACATTTTTGTTTCTGCCTTCATTTCATTATTTACCCAGTAGTCATTTAGGAGCAGGTTGTTCAGTTTCCATGTAGTTGTGCAGTTTTGAGTGAGTTTCTTAATCCTGAGTTCTTATTTGATTGCACTGTGGTCTGAGAGACAGTTTGTTGTGATATCTGTTCTTTTACATTTGCTGAGGAGTGCTTTAATTCCAACTATGTGGTCAACTTTAGAATAAGTGCAATGTGGTGCTGAGAAGAATATATATTCTGTTGATTAGGGGTGGAGAGTTCTGTAGATGTCTATTAGGTCTGCTTGGTGCAGAGGTGAGTTCAAGTCCTAGACATCTTTGTTAACCTTCTGTCTTGTTGATCTGTCTAATATTGACACTGGGGTGTTAAAGTCTCCAGTTATTATTGTGTGGGAGTCTAAGTCTCTTTGTAGGTCTCTAAGGACTTGCTTTATGAATCTGGGTGCTCCTGTATTGGGTGCATATATATTTAGGATAGTTAGCTCTTCTTGTTGAATTGATCCCTTTACCATTATGTAATGGCCTTCTTTGTCTCTTTTGATCTTTGTTGGTTTAAAGTCTTTTTTATCAGAGACTAGGATCACAACCCCTGCTTTTTTTCGCTTTCTATTGTCTTGGAAGATCTTCCTGCCTCTCCTTATTTTAAGCCTATGTGTGTCTCTGCACATGAGATGGGTCTCCTGAATATAGCACACTGAGGGGTCTTGATTCTTTATCCAATTTGCCAGTCTATGTCTTTTAATTGGGGCATTTAGCCCATTTACATTTAAGTTTAATATTGTTATGTGTGAATTTGATCCTGTCATTATGATGTTAGCTGGTTATTTTGCCCTTTAGTTGATGCAGTTTCTTCATAGCATTGATGGTCTTTATGATTTGGCATGCTTTTGCAGTGGCTGGTACTGGTTGTTCCTTTCCATGTTTAGTGCTTCCTTCAGGAGCTCTTGTAAGACAGGCCTGGTGGTGACAAAATCTCTCAGCATTTGCTTGCCCATAAAGGATTTTATTTCTCCTTCACTTATGAAGCTCAGTTTGACTGGATATGAAATTCTGGGTTGAAAATTCTTTTCTTTAAGAATGTTGAATATTGGCCGCCACTCTCTTCTGGCTTGTAGAGTTTCCGCCAAGAGATCTGCTGTTTGTCTGATCGGCTTCCCTTTGTGGGTAACCTGACCTTTCTCTCTGGCTGCCTTTAACACTTTTTCCTTCATTTCAACCTTGGTGAATCTGACAATTATGTGACTTGGGGTTGCTATTCTCAAGGAGTATCTTGTTAGTGTTCTCTGTATTTCCTGAATTTGAATGTTGGCCTGCCTTGCTAGGTTGGGGAAGTTCTCCTGGATAATATCCTGAAGAGTGTTTTCCAGCTCGGTTCCATTCTTCCTGTCACTTTCAGGTACACCAGTCAAACATAGATTTGGTCTTTTCACATAGTCCCATATTTCTTGGAGACTTTGTTCATTTCTTTTTACTTTTTTTTCTCTAAACTTTTCTTCTAGCTTCATCTCATTTATTTGATCTTCAATCACTGATACCTTTCCTTCCACTTGATCGAATCGGCTACTGAAGCTTGTGCATGTAACACAAAGTTCTCGTGCCATGGTTTTCAGCTCCCTCAGGTCATTTGAGGTCTTCTCTATGCTGTTTATTCTAGTTAGCTATTTGTCTAATCTTTTTTCAAGGTTTTTAGCTTCCTTGCAATGGGTTCAAATATCCTTCTTTAGCTTGGAGAAGTTTGTTATTATCGACCTTCTGAAGCCTACTTCTGTCAATTCATCAAAGTCATTCTCCATCCAGCTTTGTTCCATTTCTGGTGAGGAGCTGTGCTCCTTTGGAGGAGAAGAGGCACTCTGGTTTTTAGAATTTTCAGCTTTTCTGCTCTGGTTTCTCCCCATCTTTGTGGTTTTATCTACATTTGCTCTTTGATGATGATGACCTACAGATGGAGTTT
Source organism: Homo sapiens (assembly GCF_000001405.40). NCBI lineage: Eukaryota > Metazoa > Chordata > Mammalia > Primates > Hominidae > Homo > Homo sapiens. The sequence goes on along the minus strand of NC_000013.11, from coordinate 79,951,301 downwards.
TGGTGTGGATGTCCTTTTTGTTGATGTTGATACTATTCCTTTCTGTTTGTTAGTTTTCCTTCTAACAGTCAGGACCCTCAGCTGCAGATCTGTTGGAGTTTGCTGGAGTTCCACTCCAGACCCTGTTTGCCTGGGTATCACCAGCAAAGGCTGCAGAACAGCAAATATTGCAGAACAACAAATATCGCTGCCTGATCCTTCCTCTGGAAGCTTCCTTTCAGAGGGGTACCCAGCTGTACAAGGTGTCATTTACTTATCATGGTTGATGTTGACCTTTGTCGTCTGATTGAGTTATTGCTTGTTAGATTTATCCACTTGAAATTACTCTTCCCTTTTCCACTCTTCATAGGTGGACTATAGAGCCAGGTTTTTGTAAGTTAAATGGATTATATTGCAGCTTTTAGAGTATAAGATTCATTGATATTACTGGAAAAAAATCCCTTGCTAAAATATTAAATAACAATGAATTGGCATAATTTTCCCAATTAAACTTCTGTTTGCTTTTCAAAATTTTAGAGGTGTTTCAGTAATTTGGCTCCATTTTCTGGCAAAAGTGGTATAAAAGGACATTCGCTAGTAAGGTCAGGTTGTTTTAATGAAGTTTTCTCATGTAATTCATACACAAACTATATGTAAAATCAGAAGAAATCAGATTTTATTTGTAGCAAAGCAAAATGATTATATTTTCCATATGCACTCAAAAATAAATAAAGTATACATAAAGAAAAGAAGAAATAATATATCTAAAACTTAATGGAAAATGTCTGGTCATAAGAGCTACATAATGGAGTGTTTTCTATACTATAGATCATTTTTATCATCATCATAAACAACACTCATAACAGGCATTATTCAAATAAAATGAAATTAAATTGGAAAGAGCATAATATCACTAAACCAAAATTTTGAAGATTTGAAGAAATAACTCTATATCTTTCCTTTTATAAATTCTCTTAACATCTCTTTTGCTACTTTAGTTCTTTTTCTCTTTTCATTTAAATTCTATCTTTAATGAGAGTTCAAATGTTCACATCTTAACAATAGATTTAAAGAGTTGTCACCATCATTAAGGGGTCCCAAATGTCCAAACTTCTGTCTGGGATAAAATTGAAATAAGGTTTTAAACTCTTATTTTATTTTCTATTTGGTTTTAAGTAATATAACATTAGCAAAACTCTTACATTGGTGTGAAACCACAGTAGGATTAAGAAGCAACTCAGATGGGCAAGTTCCAAGTGCTCCACTCTGAAAGGTCAATAAACATTACTGGACATTACTGGAATAAATCAGGGATATGGTGGCAGTTAATAAAGGCTTTCTCATTCAACTTCTAAAATAACCAGAGAAATAGAAATTATATTGAATGGAAATAGATTTTTTTAAAGCCCTTGCAGATATGCTCTTGATCAAGAGCGCCAAACTCTCTGAAGTCAGCTAGCATATAGTCATACAAAGTCAGCAGTTTCAGCAGAATTTCTGAAAAGTAATCATGGATGTCAAGCCCATTTTACAAGGAAAAAGTTATTTGTGATTACCTAAATTTTAGGAATTAGAATGCCTCCCAATAAGTTGTATTATGATGGGAAACAGCATGTAACAAAATATGTGATAAATTCCTTATTTTGCTTCATTTATTTATAATATTTGTGAATATTAAGTAGGATTAATGTACATGATATAAGATAGAAATGCACTATATGGCGTACAATGAAAAATCTCTCATTTTCCCCTGTGCCTCAAAAACCATTCCACTCCTCAAAGACAACCAGTTTTCATAAACTTCAGGAGATATTCCATTCATTTCTAAAATTATCCACAGAAATATTATTCCACATAAATGGGAAAATGCTATATATGTTGTTCTGCACCTTGTAATTTTTTTCCCTTAAAACATCTTGGAAAACTTTCCATATCACAAATACAGAATTTCATATTTTTTAAATGGTTTATAAGGCATTGCATTGTGTGGTAGAATGATAATTAATATATTAACTCTCACTGATGTACATTTTAGTTGTTTATAAGCTTTGACATTATAACTGATGTTCCAATTAATCTTCATCATACATCATCTCAAATGTATTCTTAAAATACTTGTTAAAACTACCCTATTGTGTATAATTTTCACTAATTGAAAACCAGCTTTTCATTAGACTTTAAGTAAATATGAAACTTATTTTCATAGAATATCAGTTTAAACAAGTAGATAAGGAGTTAATTTACTAAGGGCCCCCACAAGCCACAATTTTGACTTGGGTTTTTAGTGTTTTTCCTAAGATAGTTTACATATTCAGAGACACCAATCAAGATACAAGGTCAGAAAAAAAAGAGGGAGTTTTTAAAATTATGAATTTATTTATATGAAGGTTTTTAAACATTATGCAAACTGTCTCACTTATACATTTAAGAAATGATCAACTTCTTGAAATTAAAACTTTACCAAAAATTCCAAGGCTTATGATTACCATTCACATAGAAATGAAATGGGTAAGATCAATGGCAGCACTTACCATTATGGGATATGAGAAAGATTGCTCTATTTTACCCACGTGGGATTAGAATCACAGAGACCCAGTGTTAGACATCAATGGCCTCTGGTTACCATAGGTTAATAGGCTTCTGTCAATAGTAAGGCAAGAAAATTTCTGGCCAGAGGGCTGAAATACTGCTTGAAAAAAACTGAAACACCTTTCTCATTACCTCTGAGTTATTCTTAAACAGCTGACAGGAGAATAGATAAGTGAAAACCTGAAAAGACACCCCCCAACTAGAGTGATAATTTGCAAGAAAAAAAATGTGGCAGTCAAATACAATATCTAAAGAAATAATGTTTATTAAGTTATGCAGATCCTACTGGAGGAGACCTTGAGGAACACTAAAATAGAGGAAAAAGGTAACCAGCAATGTATAATCATTAAGTTGTTTTTGTTGAATGATCTATGTAATGACCTGAGTTTTACAAAAGTTCCAATTTCAGATACTTTTTATTCTTTTTTATTCAAGGAAGTTTCTTAAAGAGATTATTAAATATGATATACATGTTGTTTGTTAGGTTTTATTAAAAATCATCAATTAAAAATTATTAGAAAATTTTTTCCAATTAAAAAATGGGTATAGGATCTGAATAGACATGTCCCCAAATAAGATTTACAAATGACCAACAATCACGTGAAAAGATACTCAAAATCATTAGTTATCAGGATGATGCTAATCAAAAGCACAATGAGATACTACTTCACAACCACTAGGGATGGTTAGAATTTTAAAAGTACAATAATAATAAGTGTTGGCAAGGACACGGAGAAATTGGAAACTTCACATGCTACTGATGGAAATGTAAAATGGTACTGCCACTTTGGAAAATAGTCTGGTGATTAACTGCTCAAATCATTAAACATGCAGTTACAAAAAGACCCAGCTATTGCACTTCTAGATATATCCCCAAGAGAAATGAAATATGGCCACACAAAAACTAGTATACGAATGTTTACAGCAGCATCATTCACAACAGTCAAAAGGTAGAAACAACCCAAATATCCATCAACTGATGAATGGATGAGTAAAATGTGGTATATTCACAAAATGGAATATTATTTGGCCATAAACAGGAACGAAGTACTGATAAATGCTACAACATGAATGAACCTTGAAAACATTATGTTAAACAAAAGAAGCCAATCACAAAAGACAACATATTATATAATTACATTCACATGAAAGTCCAAACCCTAGAAATCTATAGAGACAGAAAGTAGATTAGTGGCTGCTTAGGGCTAGAGTGAGAGGAGTACGAGGTAGGTGGTTGTCTGTGTCTGTGTTGCTATAACAAAATATCTGATTCTGGATAATTTATAAAGAACATAAATTGATTTCTCATAGTTCTTCAGTCTGGGAAGTTCAAGATCAAAACACCACTTGGTTTATTTTCTGGTGAGGGGTCAGTCTCTACAAGGCATCATCTGCAAGATGATGCCTTGAATATTTCATCCTTTGGAAGGGAGAAACACCATGTTCTAACATGGTAGAAGGTGGAAGGGCAAAAAGGGATGAACTCCCTCCATCAAGCCCTTTTGTAGGAGCACCTAATCCCATTCATGAGGGAGGAGCCTTCATGGCATGATCACCTCTTAATACTATCACATTGACAATACCTGAATTTTGGAGGAGACACATTCAAACCATAGCAGGGGTGATTATTAAAGTGTACAGTTTCTTATTGAGGTGATGAAAATGTTCTACAAATTGACTGTGGGGATAGTGACATCACATATCTGTGACTATACTAAAAACCACTGTGTTGTACACTTCAAGCGTATGACTTGTGTAGCTTAAGAATGATATCTTAATAAACCTGTTTTTTTTATGTCACCCCCTCTCCAGGAAAAAAAAATAATTTGCCCTTGTTATATAATTCTGCGTCTGCTCCAGTTTATTTAGACAATCTCTGGTTGCTGGGAGAATTAGCGGTTTTGTAATAAGACAAGGGACAGTTTTACAGAGAAAGAAATAATCACACTGGTCTTTTTAACCTTCTGTATAATCAAGCACCATTGAACATTTAGCAGCCAACTGTCAGAAGCAGCTTCTGCCAGAATATTCTAAAGCATTTATGAAGAATGAGTTATCCTGATTTCTGAATTGTCAGAGTGAGAAAAACACAGCTGCTTTCAATGGAAAGAAAATTAGATTGAAAAAAGAAGGGGCAAAGAAATATCCCTATTGTTCGTGAAAGTCTCTTTCTTACAAAGGTTTCCAAAGTCCATGGACTATCAGGAAATGAAACTCTTTACCTGATATTTCTACATACCTATTTACAACTGATTCTGTATAAAACCATGAACATATAGAAAAATCAGGGAGATAATTCTTTTCATCTAATTGAATGTCTATTGTGCACTCAATATGCAGGAGAGTATAAGATGACTTTTCAAGGGAGTAGAATAGAAACCTTAGACCATTTCTTGTCACTAGTAGGACACACCAAATGCTTTTTTCCTTTTTTTTTTCAGTCCAGTGTTTTTAAAACCCAAGCCTCTAGATTTGCATATAATTCAGGCAGTAAGCAAATATTGTATGTGTATTATTTCATTTAATTTCACAGCAGCACCATGAAGCAAATGTGTTAGTGCAGACCCTTTAAAAATGCATAATAAAGCTGACAAAATACAAAATACTCAAAGACTCAAGGCTAGGAAGGAGATAGGAACCAAAGAGGTAAGCTGAGACCAATGGTGTAGTGGATATCAGAGTTTTGTAAATACCTGAGTTTGAAGGTTTAGGTTTTAAGATAAAATGAAGTGCTAGAGACTGGAGACATGGCCTTGGGCCTATGAAATACAGGAGTTGGAACTAAACCCCCTGCATAAATTCAGGATCAGGAAAAGTACCTCATCAGTAAAAAGGGGATTAGAAAAATCTATCAAAAAGCAAAGGGAACTATAAGGTTACATTTTGGTTCCCCCTGAAAACTGGGTAGGAAAAAAATCTCCTCTGAGAACTTGCAACTAAAGTCAGCTGGTACACAGGTGTGGGGTTCAAATTTCAATTTATATAATTCAAATTCAATATATTTAAATTCTTTTTTTTTTTTTTTAGACAGAGTCTCGCTCTGTCACCCGGGCTGGAGTGCAGTGGCACAATCTCGGCTCACTGCAACCTCCACCATCAAGAGATTCTCCTGCCTCAGCCTCCCGATTAGCTGGAACTACAGGCACCCACCACCATGCCCTGATAATTTTTGTATTTTTAGTATAGGCAGGGCTTCACCATGTTGGCCAGGCTGGTCTCGAACTCCTGACCTCAAAAGATCCACCCACCTTGGCCTCCCAAAGTGCTGGGATTATAGACATGAGCCACTGCACCTGGCCTCAAATTTATACAATGTACATGATCTGAGAAACCCCAGGCTGATAAATTTAAAATCATACCCAAATTTAAGGGTGCCTAACAAAAAACAAAAAGGAACTCTTTAGAGAGACATACCTAGGCCTCAGGGAATTGCCAGATGTAGGGTTCAGAGGAAGATGAGCTCACAGCTCACAATTACAAAACACAAGCCCAATAAAACTATTTCAATGGAGCTGACAAAAGCCGTCAAAATGGAATTAGATGCTTTCAATTAGGACATTAAATATTGAAGCTATTGGGTACAGGGAAGGAGAAAAAAAGAGAGAAAGAGGAAAGAGATTTTTCTTGCAGGGAGAAGGAAAAACTTACACATAGCTAAATAAATTTCTAAGTGATCTATATTTAAAATATGTGAATATAATAAATTTGATATGTTAATAGAATTCTGTACCTAACAAATGAAGAATAAACATTATCTAGAATGCACAGAACATTTACAAAATCAACCATGTGCCAGGGCTTAAAGCAAATGTCAACATCATGTAAGCATAAATATCATGCAAATTATGTTCTCTAATCATAATACATGGATCCAAGAAAAAAAAAAAATAGAAATTTTAAAATGCTTTAAACAATGCTGAAAGTGGTACATCTCAAACAGTTTTGGTATTACAATGTTGCTAAGAACATTCTTGTATGTCTCTTGTAGGTCATGTACAAGTTTCTCTAAAATATATACCTAAAGATTGGAATTTTTTGGCTACAGGACATGGTCAGGTTAAACTTTTAAGATAATGTCAAATTGTTTTCTAAGCTTGTTGTATCAGTTTATGCTTAGCAGTTATAAATACAACATTATTTATAATACAGTTATTCCCAAATTTTCTGCATTATAATAAAGTATTTATTATAAAGTTCTAAATTTTTTGTATTATGAAAATCCTGGATTAAATATTCTTATATACAAATTTTTAAATCTTGTCCTTTTTTTATAGTGTAATTTCCTGGGACTGAAATTCTGGTCCCAGGTATGCACGCATATTTGAAACTTCATTATGTATTATCTCATTTGCCCTTCAGAAATATCCATGAGGGTCCATTTTTCCATATACTTGCCAATACAAAATAGTATCAACGTTTTCTGTCTTTGCCAATCTTATAGTTGAAAAATGACATCTCATTGTTGTTTCCATATTTTTCAGTTGGTTTTAATATCTTTTCATATATTTATTATTCTTTTGCATGTTTATTTGGGGATTTACGTTAAATTGTGAATAATTTGAATCAGCCTAAGAATATATATGATAATCATGTAGAAAATGCCCAAACTTCTCACCATTCTTTAGATATTCCCCATACATTTATATACATATTTAGCAATAATGACTTGAGGCCATCAATACTGTGGTAATAAAAATAGGTTTTATTAAGCTTTTATTGTTTAAGTTTTATTAAGCTTTAATTTTTTAAGTTTTTATTGTCATGTGGCATACACTTGACTAAGGACTTTACATACCTGGATTATTAATTAATTTTTCTATTCATTTAACAGTTGTTTACTCAGACCCAGGGAGTGACTGGTTGTGCAATGGTGAGCAAAACGAAGCATCTGCCTTTAACTCAGTGAGAGGATGACAATAAATAATCATCAAACACATCATTGCAAAATAGGAAGTGAAATAAAAAGAAGAGCATGATGAAATAGAGAATAACATGGGGTTGTGTATGGATGGAATAATTAAAGAAGGCAAGGGGATCCTAATGAATGAGAAGAAGACAAAAATCCTGGAAGGGAAAGAGCTTTCTTGCGGAAGGAAGACTATATGCAAAGACCTCAGGAAAATGAGAAACTGAAAGATGGGCCCTGTGACTAGCATGAAGTGGGTGAAGGAGAAATGATGTGAAATTAAATTGAAGAAGTCAGCAGGAATTAGACCTCCTACAGCCATGCTGGCCAAGATGCAGAGGCCACTTCATTCCTTGTGCCATGAGAAGCTTAACCTAAGAGAGAAGTGCCCAGAGGTGGTCTTGACTTTCTACCAATGATCCAGATCTGAAGATTATTTTAGTATCACATTTCTATTATTTCACAGAAATTGAGTATAAATTAAATTGTAATCTTTAAGAAGTATATAACTATCATATCTCTCATAGATTTAAGATAGCTGAATAATATGATAAATTTGGACTTGCAAAAAAAGCATTTAATATCTCCTATAAAACAATGCCCTACTAAGTGCTGAAGATAAAACTTAAATAGAGTACTCTAAATCACTGCTCTGTTTATGATATCACAAGAAAAGATCTACTCTTTAAATCCGCTGGCAATGCTTCGCTGTTTCATCCAGTTCATTTCATGTATGAACTGGACTTACTGAAACATTTGTAGGAATACCCTTGCTAGGTAAAACATGTATCTGCAATTTGATAGCATTATTTGCATTGCTGTCATTTTGACTACGTATCATCTTGTTTTTTCTGCTTTTAGATGTTCTTAAGGGCACAGTAAATAGAGCTCCCTAGCAGCTTTTCTTTCCTATTTGATCCTCACAAAAACCATACTTTGGCTGAGTAAATATTGTCTCCTTTTTATAGATGAAGAGGTACAAGCTAACCTCACTGAGCTTCAGATTTCTAACCTAGAAAACGGAGGCAATGATACTTACCCTGCCAACATCTCATACCTACTCAGATAAAAGAAAATAAAATAATGGATGGGACAGTGCCTGAAGAAATAGATACATCATGAAAGATAAGCTAGGATTATTTCATCATAAAATAGGACACTTCTGTATCATAAACATTATAATACAGATGTATAAAAAGAGTGCATATGATCCATATCACATCTTCATTTTGTTCTAAGCCCTCATGGTAATGAACTTTGAGATGAAAGAAGACCTAAATCTGTCACTACAGAGTGGCTCAATCTCTTACATTTTAAAACATCTCCTTTTAGGTTAATTCCTACCATTTTTGGCAAAGGGTAAGTCAATGTAAAGTTGAAATTCCTCATTAAGCTATCTCACCTGAGTGAAAGATTTCCTAGAAAATATGTGTGTACAAGAAGACACTTATATATCCTTATGGTATTGTGGCAGGACCCCAGGGGTTAAACCAGCCCCATGCTCCTCTCTGGCTCCCATTGGCTCTTGGCTGAGGTAAACTCACTTTACCTGTGTTCATGTTGGTCGCTATCATCTCTGCATCTGCTTGTGAAGTTTTACAACTAGTATCATGCTAATTTCTTCCCTCAGTCCAGCCATAGTCCAGCAGTTCACATCCTGCACCTCAGCCCAACCTCATTTCTCTCTTCAGATCATCTAAGCTTCACCCCTGGGCTCCGTCTGAACCCTGACCAAGTCTGCCCTCTCTTCCACTTCTGGTAGGGGTTCTTTGCTCCCTTCACTACTGCAGCCCCATTACAAACCTGCTGACTCTCAACCTTCGGTATCACTGGGGACATGTGAGAAATTCTGAATCTCTTCAGTGCTATCAACAGGTGTGAGAGAACTGAAGGAAAGGAAGAGGAATACTTTCTTCCCTGCCTCTCCCTCACGCTATCCAGTTTCTACACTTGCTGCGTCCGCTTCTTGTAACAAAGGGTGCTCCACCAGGCTACCTCCAACCAGAATCCCAAACTGGAAATAGGACACAACTCCATTCTGTCCCTGCTTTTGAATTTACAACTAACCTGTCCTTTTTATTCTACATCTGTTCCTCACCTTGGGTTTCAATGAAAAAATGGGAGAAGAGCAATGGTACCTTGTGGCTTCTATCTCTCTCTGTTTCCTTCTCTCAACTCTTGTTCTTTTTCCTGAAACTGCTGTGAACTTCTTTACATAATATTTTCCTTCTTTTCTACTTCTTTTCATGTGGTGAATAGTGGAGTGGCATACTCCAATTATCTTGACCAATAAAGGGAAATATAATCATGCACCATGTGTGGTTGATGACAGACTGCATCTACAACAGTAGTTTCATAAATCATAATACTGTATTTTTTACTCTTAGCTTTTCTCTGTTTAGATATGTTTAGATACACACATACTTGCCATTTTGTTACAATTGCTTACAGACTCAGTAAAGTCACATGCTGTACAGGCTTGTAGCCCAGGAGCGGTAGGCTTATACCATATAGCCAAGTTGTGTAGTAGGCCATACCATCTAGGTTTGTGTTTAATTATACTCTCCCATATTTGTACAATAATGAAACTTCTAATGACACATATCTCAGAATGTATCCCCTTTGTTAAGTCATGCATGACTGTTTATCTATCTGTATTTTCTACATTCTAATCTTTGACATATCTCCTCATACAATGCTACAAGACTCTCAAGAGCCAGTGACTCGGTTACAAATTTTTATATCAACAGCACATAACCCAGTGCTTTGCCAACAATTGACACTCACTAAAAGTTTGTTGAGTGAACAAACGATTGAGTCTCTTTAATTTATAGGTGAAGAAACAGAGGTGAGAGGTTTTGCCCCAATTAAACAATCAACTAGAGGCTTAGCTGGGACAAGGTCAAGTACTCTTTCAACATAATATACTACTTTTTACCATTCTTCCTTAAATTGCTGGCAATATAGAGCCTAGAATATGAGACCAAAATGCTAGGAGGGGAGGAGGAAGAAATAATAAATAAAAAACTTCCCACCAAAGAAAAACCAAGCTTCATAAAAAAATCCAAAGGGAAGTATTTATAATTAATATATGGTTAATTTTCTCTTTGTCCATACAGCATGAAGCCAGCTCAAATCTGTACTCCTAAAAATCTCTGAATAGAGATCTTATAAAATGCCATAATTCCGCTGTGATCAACTACTTGTGGTTGTGGGAATGGATTATAGCAAAAATTCTTATAGACGTTTTCCCCTAAAAATAGACATAGATAATAATACATGAAAGTTGTAATAGAAATTAAAGTCTATTCATCTGAAAATGGAATTCTCTCATTTCACTGACTTAAAGTTAATTACTTATCAAAATTAGTAACTGATCTTTTCTCTCCTAAAAGATCCATCCCATTCAGAAATCCTGTTGAAGAAATGGCTAGCTGCTACTCACAGAGTAGTAACAAATAAGATTTCAAATTGCAGCAAACACACTCAAGTACATTTTGATAAACACACACCCAAGAAATTTGGGAAGCTAAGGTTACGAGTTTGAAACGTTATTTTCTTAATGAACAGCAGTAGCACTATTCTCAGGAAACATACCACAGAGGGAAGTGAGATTTTAAATCTATTTATTTATGTTTCTGAAGAGGATTTAAGTAATCCTGCTTTTATACAGCAGGTGCCACAGCAGACCAAAGCTTCTAATAGAATATTAGTGCAGTGAATTTATATCAAGAATGATGGCTCTTTTGAAGAATGCAATGGTACACAAACAGGAGGAAGTCCATTCGTCCCTTTAGCTCCTGCCTTCCCAGTTTACCTTCTTTTCTTCACTCCCACATTGTTAGTTTTTCCCTTTTGTGGGGAGTTGGGAGGATCTGAGATGACATGACATGTTGCTGCTCAGGGTTTCTAGGCTCTAATCCCTTAAAACAGTTATGCGCATGGGCACTAAGCAGGAAAGTACTCACACAGTGACATCATTCTGAAGTATTAAAATTTGCCACCAGAATTGTTTTCCTCTTCAGAGAATGAGAGCTACAGATAGTGATATTTTGTGTGTGTGTGTGTGTGTGTGTATGTGTGTGTCCTGTTAGGGAGAAAAAAACACTTGTAAAATTCTTAGAAACTGAAAATGCATCAGTGAATAGGTCTTTATGTTGGATATTTATGGGGAATTTGGTTTGTTTTCTGATTCTGTTTCAACTTTTAAGGAGCACCGTTAATGTGATTAATTAGCAAGAATTTATTGACGTGAAAAATCTAGACAGCCGAATATATATGATTTTTTTAAATGTATTTTTTCAGGTGAAACTATAAACTGGAGGCCTAATTAAGACCTGCTGTTTCCTGAAATTTTGTGTGCGCAGCCCTGGGAAGGAAAGTTGCACGGAGCTTTCCTTGAAGGGGTAATCTTGAGAGAAAATCCTGGCATTCTAGTCACTTCTTTCAAACATAGCCCTTACTTAAGAACCACAGTGAATTTATGTCTACGGTAAACATGAAAGCCTGTTATGGAACAGGCTTAGGGAAAACTCAAATCAACGTGATCATCATGAGTTTTGGACTTCAGCTGCTCCTAGCCAATGTTTCCAAATTTACGCTGAAACACCATTATAGATCATACAATTTTAGCCTGTTGACGTTTTCTTACCTCTTCTTTTCCCGTTACTTTGTTAAGAATGGAAGTCACTCTTCCTAACAAGAGAGAGAAAATCACCTTGCAAGAAATATAATAATTCAAAACTATTCATTGTAAAATAATTTGACTTTTGATGAGGTTGCAAAAGGCCTGAATTGAACAGATTTCTGACCAGCTCCCACTTTATCTGCTTTCATTAGAAAAAAATTTTTTCCTAATGTTGCTTTTTTATTAAATAGTTCCAAACATAAACTTTAAAACATAAGAATTAAAGAAATCTATATATTTCTAAATCTTCAAGATTTTATTAGTTTAGCAACATATTTGTATGGCTTATCCCCAATGTCTCAATCCAGTGGTGATAAAACTTCTGAAGTCCAAATTGCTTCACAATATGAGTATTTTTTACTCACTTGAAGTAAGCTTTTTTCTAATGCTTCAGGTAGAAAATAGGAACTACTTATAACTTGAGAACAGAAACCAATCTCCTAGTTGTCATTTAGTTCAACATTTTGAACTGATGTTTTTGCTAACTCACTAAATTGTAAGGTGTGAAAGTCACGGAATTTTTGTAAAAATTTTATATTTCTTTAATACTGTGAAAAGAAAACATGCCCAGTTTGCAAACCTCAATCAAGAAGCAAGTTATTTCCTTTAGATAATGCACTACGTATCAGCGCATAAGGGATCAACTCACAATATATAGTCCTGATGCATAATTCTGTATCCCCTAAGCCAGACAGCCAAAACACTTACTTACTCACAGAGAATAGCCAACACAAAAGCCCCTTTTTCCACTTCATGGGTAGGGCCTCATTATGTGCCTTCCTAAATATGGAGGGGAATTGAGGTCCCTACTTCCCTTTATAATGCTATTCAGTGCATTTGTCCAATAACTCATTGTCTCAGAAATTGTCTTGCTCACTTCCTATAGACATTCTCCTGTCTCCTCAGTGACACGTTCGTGGAGATAGACAGACATTCACAGTCGCCTCTTCTGGCTTCTCTGGCTCCACCTTGATGCATTCTTGCCTTATCCCAGACCAGGCCAGGCTCTTGCTCTGGATCTCAAAGGCCCAGGCCACATAAGGGCAGAGCAGCCACGTCAGAGCTGCTCCTGGCACCAAGAAAAATTATTTGCCCCGAGAGGCAAACACAGCCCCAGCAGTGTCCAGAGTATCAATCCCTCTCTTCTCTGTTATAAAAGGCCCTATTGTAGAAACACAAATCATTCAGAGATGGCATGTACAATGTCTAATCACTTAATAGCCACTGGGCACCTACTGGGTATGGGCCCCAAACTAGATACTGTCTGTAACCTATTCACTAGAGGGAGACAGGAAGGAATATGACACAGATTTATATTCATCTCCTGTTCTAGCCCAGTACACCATGGCCAACACACAGCCTTTGAACAAGTAGACAATTACAGCCATAATAGAGATGAGAATATTTTTATCTGTAAGTAGCAAGGTAGGGGATAGAACACAAGCTTGCTATTCACACTGACCTAATTTCGAATCCTGCTTCTATACTTAATCAACTGTGTGGCCTTGGGGAGCTTACTGAATCCCTCTGGGATTCTCTGGCCTTGTTTGCAAAAGGAAAATAATAATCTCTACACCATAAGTGCTGTGAAGAACAATGTAGAAGGTAGAAAGGCCGAAAGCTATGTGAGGTATACAGAGGACACAACAGTATTAATTCCCTTACCCATCTTTTGATTTCTAAATAACTGTCAAGACATTTTATATTCGATATCTTATTATTTGAACCTTATGCAAATCCTACTTGTATGTACTTTAATCTCAGAGATAGAATTTTAGGTCGTTGGATCTCTTTTTGTTTCCCTTTTGGAAATTTGATTGAAAAGATACACTTGTTTTCTCCAATTACCTTAGCTTTGCTCCTTGGCAAGTTTTACAAAACACCCGAAGCCATAAAAAGGGTTAATTTTATTCCAGTGTACCAGATGTCTTCAGCACCTTGACTTTAGTAATGTACTAAGAACAGTAAGTCTTTTTAATGAAAGTGAAAGGTATGCATTGTACTTAAATCTGGAGCTTTCTCCCCTGAAGAAACGCTGCCGCTGGGACTGCATCCCGCCATTTTAGACGGGGTGAGATATGTTTTTGCTTGCGTTTACCCTTCTGCAGTACATTTTCAAGCGACTGCAGTTGGTATCCAAGCAGTTAAAACTACATCAGCACTAATAGCTATGAGCTCATCTTGTATAAAGACATTTTTAGTTAAACACCACAATCTTGGGGGGAAAAACTTAGCGTGCTTAACCAGGCCAGCTTGGAATAGCTCACAATATGACGCATACCACAGGAAACAGAGTGGTATGAGGCACCTACAAAATATTTTTCAAACAAGTCATTGACGCTGTAAGCCCCATGCCTCAGCTTTAGGAAGTCACTTATTAAGAATCAACACCAGCCGTGCCAAGCTAAGCTTTTGCTCTTGGTGATTTTCCAATTGAATATTCAGGGCCCTGTCTCAGTCTTGTTTTCAGGGAAGTACATGCCTGGAATGTTAGCAAGCTATTTGCTGGAAAAAATGCCCACAACAGGCCTAATGTTGATCACATTAATGCGTTTGAGTGGGTATAGAGTGCAAATGATTGAAAATGCTTCCAGATCCCTGTTGCAGGGGACAAAGCAGGCTCTGTTC